>NW_009646200.1:0-268330 GCF_000001405.40 Homo sapiens
GAATTCCATAATAAAGACTACTGGGAGATCTGGCTAGCCATATGCAGAAAATTGAAACTGAACTCCTTCCTTACACCATATACAAAAAGTAAATATAAAATCCAAAACTATAAAAACTATAGAAGAAAATCTAAGCAATACCTTTTAGAACATAGGCACAGGCAAAGCTTTCATGATGAAATTGCCAAAAGCAATTACAACAAAAGCAAAAATTGACAATTGGAATTTAATTAAACTAAAGAGCTTCTGAACAGCAAAATAAACTATCATCAGAGTGAACAGACAACCTACAGAATGGGAAAAACCTACAAAGAGCTTAAACAAATTTACTATAAAAATTAACATTAAAAGGTAGGCAAAGGAAGTGAACAGGCAATTCTAAAAAAAACATACATACTGCAAACACATATGTAGAAAAAGTCTCAACATCACTGCTAATTAGAGAAATGAAAAAACAAAAAATCAAAATGAGATATCATCTCACACCAGTCAGAATCGTGATTATTTAAAAAGTCCAGAAACAACAGTTGCTGGCAAGGTTGCAGAGAAAAAGGAATACTTTTATACTGTTGGTGGAAGAGTAAATTAGGTCAACCATTTTGGAAGACAATGTAGTAATTTCTCAAAGACCTGGAGGCAGAAATACCATTTGACTCAGCAATCCCATTACTAGGTATATACTCAAAGGAATATAAATCATTCTATTACAAAGATACATGCTTGCATATGTTCTTTGTAGCACTATTTACAGGAGCAAAGATGTGGAATCAACTTAAATGCCTATTAATGATAGACTTGATAAAGAAATCTAAACCATGAAATAATATGCAGCCATAAAAAGGAACCAGGTTATGTCCTTTGCAGGGACATGTTTGGAGCTGGAAGCCATTATCCTCAACAAACTAATACAGGAACAGAAAACTAAACACAGCATGTTCTCACATATAAGTGGGAGCTGAAGAATGAGAATACATTGACACATGGAGGGGAACAACAAACACTGGGGCCTATCAGATCAGGAAGGGAGCATGAGGAAGAGTAGCTAACAAATGCTGGGCTTAATACCTAGGTGATGGGATAGTCTGTGCAGCAAACCATGGCACACATTTACCTATGTGACAGCCTGCACAGCCTGCACATGTACACCTAAACTTAAAGTAAAAGTTGAAAAAAAAAAGAAAATGGCAAACAACAAAATATATAAATGAATATGTGAATAAATAAATAAGACTATACCAAAAACTGAAAAAAGAGAAAGCTTAATACACAGCATTGGGGTAAGGCTGTCTAAATAAATGCAAAAGGATGAAGCCCTAAGGAAAATATTAATTAAAGTGTCTCAATACATTTTAAATAATTCATGTAGAAAAGCATGAAGAAAAGTGACAATTGAAAATACTCGCTCAAGGATGATAAAATGTGTCTGTTGTTATGGGATCATTTTCAATGTGTATCTCAAATTCTGCCATAGTCCAGATCCTCTGAGCAAAGGCAATTATAATGAAGAGTGGTTGTACAGGGAAACATTGTACAGGGAAATATTCCAGGATAGTACTGATTTAGACATTATCTTGCTCCCTAATCCAGCCTCAATTTTCTCTATGTATTGTTTGCAAAGGGCATTTGTTGGCTTTAAAAAAAAAAATGAAATGACGCCAAAGAATTGGGGAAGACAAGATATAACTTGTTTTTTGTGTGTGTGTGTGTTTTTTTTTTTTTTGAGACAGAGTCTCACTCTGTTGCCCAGGCTGGAGTGCAGTAGTGCAATCTCAGCTCACTGCAAGCTCTGCCTCCCAGGTTCACCCCATTCTCCTGCCTCAGCCTCCCGAGCAGCTGGGACTACAGGTGCCTGCCACCACGCCCGGCTAATTTTTTGTATTTTTAGTAGAGACCGGGTTTCACTGTATTAGCCAGGATGGTCTTGATCTCCTGACCTCGTGATCCACCCGCCTCAGCCTCCCAAAGTGCTGGTATTACAGGCATGAGCCACTGCACCCCACCAAGATATAAGTTTTTAATAGATGTTGTATGGTGTGAGGAAGCAAGTTTGCCCACACTTAAAGAGACTTCCTTCCATACTGAGTTTACAAGCCATAAATTTACAATGGTCACAATCTTTTGGGCTATGTAATTTTACATAGAGCTTCTCAGAAGTTATATATAACAGTAAAAAAAAGCATTGATTCAAAATTAAGAATAATTATATACAAGTATCCGAAGGAAAAATATTTGTAATGGAAAAGGTGATGATAAGATAGAGATATATGTTGTTCCCTGGTTGAATAAAAAATAATGTGAAATAAAGAAGACCAAAGGACAGTGTGGAGTTCCTAGATGCCAGTAATTGTGGGTTCAAAAAGAGGAAGAATAAGATAGTATAACTTTCAAAATAGAATTCTGGATAACAATAGAACCCTAGTTATTTGAATGAGTGAATAGAAAAGGAAATAATGTTGATCCAGACTCTAGACTCACCACACTTATAAAAATAAGCAGTATTTAGCTGAGTATTTCACAAGGGAGAAAGTATTCACAAGGAGAGTTTGTATAAGAAGCACCAAGTTTAACATAAGAAACATCAGGACATGGTGGAGCAGAATACTTAATCAAAGGAATGCTTATGTAGGAGTGTTTACGACGAAGGATTTCAGCGGGTAATATGGTTTGGCTGTGTCCCTAGCCAAATACCATCATGAATTCCCATGTGTTTTGGGAGGGATCCATTAGGAAGTAATTGAATCATGGAGGCAGGTCTTTCCCATGCTGTTCTTGTGATAGTGAATGAATAAGTCTCATGAAATCTGATGGTTTTAAGAAGGGAAGTTTGCTTGAATAAGCTCTCTTTTTTGCCAGCAGCCATCCATGTAAGACATGACTTGCCACTCTTTGCTTTCTGCCATAATTGCAAGGTCTCCCCAGCCACATGGAACCATCAGCCCAATTAAACATCTTTCTTCTGTAAATTTCCCATTCTTGGGTATGTCTTCATAAGCAGCATGAAAACAGACTAATACAGTGAATTGGTACCAGTAAAGTGGGGTATTACTGAAAAGATACCCAAAAATGTGAAAGTGACTTTGGAACTGGGTAACAGGAAGATGTTGGAACAATTTGGAGAACTCAGAAGAAGACAGGAAAATGTGGGAAAGTTTGGATCTTTTTAGAGACTTGTTGAATGGCATTAGCCAAAATACTGATAATAATATGAACAATAAAATCCAGCTGAGGTAGTCTTGGATGGAGATGAGGAACTTCTTGGGAACCAGAGCAATGGTGACTCCTGTTATGTTTTAGCAAACAGACTGGTGGCATGTTGTTCTGATCCTAGAAATGTGTAAAACTTTGAACTTGAGAGAGATGGTTTAGGGTATCTGGCAAAAGAAATTCTAAGCAGCAAAGCATTCCACAGGTGACTTGGGTGCTGTTAAAGGCATTCGGTTTTAAATGAGAAACAGCATAAAAGTTCAGAAAATTTGCAGGATGACAATGTGATAAAAAAGAAAATCCCATTTGCTATGAAGAAATTCAAGCAGCCTGCAAAAATTTGCATAAGTAACTAAGCTAAATGTTAATCACCAAGACAATGGGGAAAATGTCTCCAGGGGGCATGTCAGAGGTCTTTACAGCAACCCTTCCCATCACAGGTCTGGAGGCTTAAGGAGACAAAAAAAAATGGTTTCATGAGCTGGGCCCAGGGTCGCTGTGCTGTGTGCAGCCTAGGGACTTGGGGCCCTGCATCCCAGTCACTCTAGCCAGGGCTGAAAGGGGCCAACATAGAGCTTGAGCCATGCTACAAAGGGTACAAGCCCCAAGCCTTGGCAGTTTCCATGCGGTGTTGAGCCTGCAAGAGTACAGAAGTCAAGAATTGGGGTTTGGGAACCTCCACCTAGATTTCAGAGGATGTATGGAAACACCTGGATACTCAGGCAGAGGTTTGCTGCAGGGGAAGGGCCCTCATAGAGAATCTCTGCTAGTGCAGTCTGAAAGGGAAATGTTGTCAGAGTCCCCACACAATGTCCCTAGTGGAGCACCTCCTAGTGGAGCTGTGGAAAGAGAGTCACCTTCCTCCAGACCCCAGAATAGTAGATCCACTTACAGTTTGCACCATGTGCCTGGAAAAGCCATAGACACTCAATGTCAGCCTGTGAAAGCAGCCAAGAGTGGGGCTATACCCTGCAAAGCTACAAAGGTGTAGCTGCCCAAGGCTGTGGGAGCCTACATCTTGCATCAGCGTGACCTGAACGTGAGTCATGGAGTCAGAGGAGATCATTTTGGATCTTTAAGATTTGACTACTCTGCTGGATTTCAGACTTGCATGGGGCCTGAGTCCCCTTTGTCTGGCCAATTTCTCCCATTTGGAATTGCAGTATTTACCCAATGCCTGTACCCCTACAGGGTCTGGGAAGTAACTAACTTACTTTTGATTTTACAGGCTCATATGCAGAAAGGACTTGCCTTGTCTTGATGAGACTTTGGACTGTGGTCTTTTGAGTTAATGCTGAAATGAGTTAAGACACTGGGGGACTTTAGGGAAGGCATGATTGGTTTTTAAATGTGAGGACATGAGATTTGTCTGTGACCCCATTGAAATCTCATCTTGAATTCCCATGTGTTGTTGGAGGGACCTGGTAGGAGGTAATTGAATCATGGGGGCAGTATTTTCCCTTGCTTTTCTTGTGGTGGCAAATAAGTCTCATGAGATTCAATGGTTTTAAAAAGGAGAGCTTCCCTGCACAAGCTGCCTTTTTGCCTCCTGCCATCCATGTAAGACGTGACTTGCTCCTCTTGCCTTCCACCATGATTGGGAGGCCTCCCCAGCCATGTGGAACTGTGAGTCCAATTAATCTTCTTTCTTTTGTAAATTGCCCAGTGTCAGGTATGTTTTTATTAGAAGCATTAAAACAGACTAATGCAGAGGGTAACAGAGCAAGTACAGAAGTAGGGGTGGGGGAAGAAAGAGTTAACAATTTAAAAATTGTAGTAAACAAAAGTATTGGAGATAAGATGGATTTGAATGTACAAAAGTATCAGAGGATGGCACACACACACAAATATGGATAGACTCACCCTCCAAAAAGTGACAGAAGCTCATGCAATCCTGAAGACATCAGCTTGTTGAATTTTCCTCTTAGCATTTTAATGGAAAAGATTAGTTTATTTATTGACTATTCAAGATAAGGTATAATAATAATCTTTGAGTGTAACTTCAAGTATTTGGAATACTGCTGGGGAAAGTCATAAATTCAAATAAATATTATATACTTATTAAAATAACTACTATAATGTATCTTTGCATTTAAAATATGTTTTAAATGAGTATTTAAAATTTGAAAAGACACTGGAAATACACAGGTAGTGGGAGTATACAATCACTTGGAAAACAAATTTGCTAAAACCTACCGAAACACCACATAGACATATCCTGTGACTGAGCATTTGCACTCCTTGGCATTTATCAAAAATGGTTACAAATGTTCAATAAAAGACTAAATAAATGTTTATCGTAAAACCAAATAATACTCAAAGGTTTAGTTTAAGCTCTGAATAGCTCTGATGTGGCTAGAAAGATTCCATAGAGTATATATATTTATATAAATATATATATAAATTATTTGGAAAAATATTATAAAAATAGATAAGATCTTATGAAATAAAACATTAAATTTAAAAATTACATACAATTAATATAACATAATTCATATGTAAATAGTTGGTAGACAATTTCTGACATAAATTCTAAACTTATAAAACATTAAATTATTATATTTTGCAATGTCTATGTTTCAAAAACATCAAACACACTAAATTTGAAAAGAAAATTACAAATTGTAAATGATAGATACATATATTGTAGTTTAAGTTTTAATATCTTTGATATATTGAATTGTTATAAAAAGCTTAAGAATATGGTAATAAAATAGAAAATTTATATACATCTAATTCTCCCATATATAGGAAATATATATATGAGACAGATAACAAAAGAAATACAAGTGTCCCAAATTATTCAATGATTATGGAAATAAAAAATGTGAAATTAAACAATCATATTTAGTCTTGGAAAGTTTTGACAACCAAATTGAGTAATTGAGGCAAGAGTCTCAAATCACTGAGGTTTATTGACCCAATTTGAGGCCACACCCAGAAAATTGTGGATCACAGAAGCATCTGTGGCTTTTTTTTCCGAAGAGGTTCTTAGGAGATTTAGTATTTATACATTTTCTTTAAAAGGGAGTAGAGAGGAGCAACAGTGAGACAAATGCCCAATGCACAGTCTTCCCCAATTACTTCAGACCACTTCTCATTCCCAAAACCCATGTACCCATTCACACCAAGAAAATATTAATATAGCAACATGGAACAACAAGTGTCCTCCTCTGCCTGGTGTGTGGTCACACACATTGGTACCCAGCTTGTAGCCTTTTCTATTAAGTATTCCAATTCTTCTTTCCAAAAACAGCTGGCTACCTGATTGATCTATGAGCCATCTTGGGCCACTCGGAAGGTAACTGGGCCAGTAAGAGAACTCAAACTCACCTTAACCACTGACTAAATAGACTCAACATTTCATGTTAATGTATATAAGAGAAAAAGAGTACCTATTAAAGTAATATTTATCTTAGTCTTGACTCTTCTGTACAAAATATACAACATTCAGTCAAAAATTCTGAAACAATCCGAGAAAGCAAGGAGACAAAAAGATAAATTGTCTACAGAATCATAACTAAAAAGCCCCAGAAGTGAGAAATTTCATACACGGAGTTTAAAATAATTGTGATTAATATGCTACACTATCTAGCCAAAATTTGACAATTATGTAATGTTAATAGACCTATGTATTCATTGTCCAAATCAAGACGTCAAATATTACCAGCATCTTGTAAACCTTTCTCAAGAATCGTTATAGTCAATATCCTTTCAATGTTCACCATTGCTGACATATCACCATAGATATATTTTATGCAATGTATATAAATCGCTGTGCATATTATGCAGTACTTTTTATCTAGGTCCTTTTGCTTAGACAATATTGGTGACATTAGTTCTGGTTGTTGCATTTAGTAGTAGTCTGCCCTTTTTCATTTTTATTTGGCAATAAGAGCATAGAGATGAAAGAGGAGAGAGAGAATGGCAAGTCATAGAAACTTTTAAGGCTGCTATCACATAAATAGGTGGTATCATTAATCTTAATTGAAAATGTAGGACAAGGGCTAGCAATTCACAGAATCAGCAAAAAATGAGGTCTAATCTGAGCTGCCTATAATACACACAAGTACAGATTCAAAATCTATTAAATGAAATTATTAGAGGCAAATGTGTTTTGAAAATCAAGCTTTAAAAACAGTTGGAGGGGACACAAAATAAGATTCACTTTTACTTTTTATTTCTTTAAGGACAGCAGCAGAAAAGAGATTCTTGAAATGAAGTATTTTCACTAAACAGACCCAATGACAAGAGCTCAATATATGTGAGTGCTAGAAATAGATCCTTTTCGTATCTAACATGCAATAATAAATAAAGGCAATAAAATAAGAATGTTCAGATTAACTATAAGAAATTAAAAATCAAAGATAGTTTAGGGTGGGGCCCTCGTGAGCCTGCATTTCTATTAAGGGAGTTGAGAAGGAGCAATTGGAGAAGATGAATTTTAATTTTAACAGTGAGCCCATGAATCTGATTATGTTAAAAAATTAGAAAAAAAAATGAGACAAAATGGTTGCGTTAGTCAGAATTATTCAGAAAAAAAGAACTAATAGGATGGGTGTGTGTGTGTTGTGTGTGTAGAATGTCTGTGTGCCTGTGTGTGTGGTGTGTTTGTGTACCATGTCATAGACAACATAAGCCATCTCAGTCAAGGATGTACAGTAGATATAACCATGGTTCCTGCCTCAGCCTGCTGAGTAGCTGGGATTACAGGCACGCACCACCACATCCAGCTAATTTTTGTATTTTTAGTAGCCTTTCCTGTATTTTTCTAGCCTTTCCTGTGTGTTGCTTGAACTTTTTTCTTTTTTTGTTTTAGAATTCTAGTTTGATTAATCCCACCCGAATACCTTGTTTAAGTAATACATTATGGAACAAGTATTCTGGGTATTCCAAGGCTAAATATAGAAACATCCCATCTAAGCCTCTTGGAATGCTTACTCTAGGAGAAATCCATTGCTGGTAAAAATAAAAATTGATACAGCCACTTAAGATAAACAAGCTTTTTATTATACAACCAGAAAATTTAGAGATATTTGTTCAAGATAAGTAAAAGCACTGGTCCACAAGAAGAAAAAAAATACTGACATTCATAGCAGTATTAGTCACAATAATAAACACATTAAAGCAAAACAAATAACATGATTTGGCTCTGTGTCTCCACCCAATTCTCATCTTGAATTGTAATGTTGTAATCCTCATGTGTGTGGAAGAAATCTGGTGAGAGGTGGTTGATCCATGAGGGCAGTTTCCTCCATGCTGTTCTTATGATAAGTTTTCATGAAACCTGAGGGTTTTATAAGCATCTGGCATTTACCCTTCTAGCACTCATTCTCTCTCCTTATGCCCTGTGAAGAGGTGCCTTCCACCATGACTTTAAGTTTCCTGTTGCCTCCCCAGCCATGCAGAACTGAGTGTCAATTAAACCTCTTTTCTTCATAAATTACCCAGTCTCAGGTATTTCTTCACAGTAGTGTGAAAATGGACTAATACAGTAAATTGGTCCTGAGGGAGTGGGGTGCTGCTGTAAGGATACCCAAAAATGTGGCAATGACTTTGGAAGTGGGTAACAGGCAGAGGGCTCTTTGGAGGGCTCAGTTTGGAGGGAACAGTTTGGAGGGCTCAGAAGAAGACAGAAGAATGTAGAAAAGTTTGGAACTTCCTAGAGACTTGGAAGGTTCCAGAAACAGAGAGATGCAAAAAAGCTTGGAACTTCCTAGATACTTGCTGAATGGCTTGACCAAATTGCTGATAATGATATGGACAATTAAGTCCAGGCTGAGGTTGTCTCAGATGTAGATGAAGAACTTGTTAGAAACTGTAATAAAGGTGATTCTTACTGTGCTTTAGGAAAGAGAATGGTGACATTTAGCCCCTGCCCTAGAGATCTGTGGAAATTTGAACTTGAAAGAGATGATTTAGGGTATCTGACAGAAGAAATTTCTAAGTAGGAAAGCATTTGAGAGGAAGCAGAGCATAAAAGTTTGAAAGATTTTCAGTCTGATGATGCAATAGAAAAAAAATCCATTTTCTGAGTCGAAATTCAAGCCACCTGCAGAAATTTGCATAAGTAATAAGGAGCCAAATGTTAATCACCAAGGCAATTAGATAAATGTCTCCATGATATGTCAGAGACCTTTGTGGCAGCCCCTCTCCTAACGGGCCTGGAGCCATAGGAGGGAAAAAATGGAATTGGTGCCCTTCATTCGAGACACTCCAGCCATGGCTAAAACCCAAGGTACAGCACAGGCCATTGCATTGAAGGGTGCCTGCCTCAAGCCTTGGCAGCTTCTACTTGGTGTCAGTCTTGCCTGTGGGTGTGCAGAAGACAAGAATTGAGGTTTGGGAAGCTCCACCTAGATTCCAGAGGATGTAGGGGAAGCCTGTATGTCCAGGCAGAAGTTTGCTGCAGGGGTGATGCCTTCATGGAGAACAACTGCCAGGGCAGTGTGGAAGGGAAATGTGGGGTCCAAGCCTCCACAAAGCATCCCCATTGGGGCACTTCCTAGTGATGCTCTGAGAAGAGGGTCATTGTCCTCCAGATTCCAGAATGATAAATCCATTGACAGCTTCTACCATGCACCCGGAAAAGCCGCAGACACTAAATACCAGCCAATGAAAGCAGCCAGGAGTGGGGCCGTACCCTGCAATGCCAAAGGCATGAAGCTGCCCAAGGCTGTGGGAGCCCACCTCTTGCATCAGAGTGACCTGGTTGTGAGAAATGAAGTCAAAGGAGATCACCTTGGAACTTTAAGGTTTAACACTACTCTATTGGATTATAGACTTGCCTGGGGCTTATAGCCCCTTTCTTTTGGCCAATTTATCCCAACTGGAACAGGTGTATTTACCCCATGCCTGTACCCTCATTGTATCTAGGAAGCAACTAACTTGCTGTTGATTTTACTGGCTTATAGGTGGAAGGGACTTTCATGGTCTCAGATGAGACTTTGGATGTGGACTTTTGAGATAATGCTGGAATGAGCTAAGAATTTGGGGGCACTGCTCGAAAGAAATGATTGTGTTTTGAAACATGAGGACATGAGATTTGGGAGGGGCCAGGGGCAGAATGATATGGTTTGGCTCTGTGTGTCCACTCAAATCTCATCTTGTACTATAATCTCATAATCCCCACGTGTCAGGAGAGGGACCCGTGGGAGATAATTGAATCATGGGGACATTTCCCCCATGCTGTTCTCGTGATAGTGAGTGAGTCCTTACAAAATCTGATGGTTTTATAAGCATCTGGCATTTCCCCTGCTAGCACTCATTCTCTCTCCTGCTTCCTTAAGAGATGTCTTCTATCATGATTGTAAGTTTCCTCTCCTTTCACAACTAACATCAGCTTTTTTTTTTACAAACTAGTACCATCTATTCTCCTGTTTTCTCTGTGTGTATTTTAAAATGGTCTTGTGCACCCACAAGACCATCCACCCCACAGGCAAGTCTGCCTCTTTGCTTTCACTTCACAGGCCTTGTGACTTCTTAAAAACACACTAATTAGAACCCCAGCTCTGCCAGCTTCTTGCGACTTACCATATGCTTTTTGTTCATGCTATGCCCCAGGGCTGAGTTTTCCCGTGGCTTTTGAAGCAGTGTGCTGCATCATAGTATCTCACACTGGTCGTTTAAAGATCCCACTTAGTTTCCTTTATGAGTTATGTGTTAGCTCCTTTTTTGGAGGAGGGGAAATTGTTTCTTTTCCATTTGCAAGTTTTTCTCCCAAGTCCAAAGTCTTCTGGAGGTTACTTCTTTATGTCGAGAGGGCAAATAAACATTGCCCTCTCAAATCCAAGGCCTACTGTTTTTTGCAAGCATATAAAGGCTTTCCATGAGTATTCCTATAGCTTCATCTCACTTCCTCCTGTAAGAGCCATTTCTTCTAATCACTTCCAAACCCTTCTCAATATGTATCAGGACCTTCAGGGTCATATTGCAAGGGAAGGAAGTTTAGCTCTTTTGCAGCAGTTACCTGAAAAATCATCTTCTCATTGATTTAAAGAACACATGATACAAGATTATAAGAAAAGATATAAACATTTTGTTGCTAAAATGCTCCTTGAAAGAGTCACTATAAGGTCATGGAGACAAGAATATAGGCTAGCCCAAGACCTTAAGAACAAGAGACCCATCGGACAGAGAAGAAGTGTGGTCCCTGCCTAGCAGATTACCATATCAGAGATGAAGGCAAGATGTGGTGTAAACAGTAAGATCAGTTTATTCCAGAATCCCATTTGGTAACGAATATTATAAAAGGAAGAGATTTTGTGTGACAAAGCATCCTATATGTTAAATCCTTGCCCTAAAGTAAAATGACTGGTTGTTTGAAAAGATAAGAAAAGTCAGAAAGTCAAAGCATGTCATAGATGATCTGTGTAAGTCATAAAAATTCATGAAAGGAAATTTATTAACAATGTACAGTTTTAAAAGGTATTAGGTCTACTAAAAGCTTTAATGTCATAGATTGCTACTATGATCCTTAACTGTACAACTTGCCTACTTTAAAGATAGGTAAGGCTTTGGAACATACAGAGTTAGCCATGCCTCCTTGCTATGCTAGAAAAGGTCAGGCCTTACCTGCACTGCTGGGTGTCCTAGGCTCCAGACCTAGTACATAATTAGAATCACTATTTACCAGGTTTTTCACCAAAAGTAAAAGCTGCTAAAAGTTAATAGTATAACATGTACTCAAGACTACTGGAAAAACAGTTTTACATGCAAGTTATGTAAGGAAACAAGAACATGTTTTTAGTAAAATGTTATAAAAAGGCAGGAAATGTGAACTATTTTGCCTAGTTTAGAAGGTTAAAGGATTGTTTTAAGTTAGATAGGATAAAGCTGAACATTTAAGAAAGTTGTGGAAGGTTCACAAAAGATTAACCTTGTAAAAGAAATTCTGTGTGTGAACATATCAACTATAAAGAAGTATTATTCAGTTTTCTTCATAAATATAATATTTGAATGAAAGCACAACAGAGTTTTATTAGAGCAGGGGTGGCCAATCTTTTGGCTTCCTGGGCCATATTGAAAGAAGAAGCCTTGTCTCTGGCCACACACACACACAAAACTACTAACACTAATGTTAGCTGATGAGCTAAAAAAAAAGTCCCCCCCAAAATTATAATGTTTTTAAAAAGTTTATGAATTTGTGTTGGTTCACATTCAAAGATGTCTTGGGCCACATGCAGTACACAGGCCATGGGTTGGATAAGCTTGTATTAAAGCATTGAACTTTTCATTAAAAAAATTGTAAAAAAAATTATAAAAGGTTTATGAGAATCTTACTTTATGGTCAAACTAATTAAGATTGGATATATTTATCTATAATGTTTTATCAAGAATTTGGTTTGACATCAATACTACACTAATGCAGAGGTAAAATATGGCATTTTTTGGACTGTATTTCTATAAATGTGTTTTTGGCATATGCTAATAATTATAATTGTTATGTTAAATTATTGTGTGCCACAGAGGTAATCAATTTCTTTGTCAATTATGCCTTTAACTGTGGCTGCCCTAAGACTTTTTGTGATCCACAGACAATTATTGTTTTATGTTAATCCTCTTTAAAAGGTTTTATAATCTAAAGGACTCTAACAGGTGCTCTTAAATGCACGTTTCTGATAACTTCGGATGTTGTGACATTAGAAAAGAGGAAAAACTTTCAGGACTCCCATGGAGAGCTGAAATGTTTATGAATTCTAGCAAAACTGTAGTTGACTACATGGACTGAACTAATAGAAGACTAAAATAATCCTTTTATGGCTCTGCTTAAAACGTTGCTAGTTCTTCATTTTTTTAAAGTGAAGAAAACTTTTGAGCTTTTTACAGCTTTGAACAATTGAATAAAGTATAATCCTATAAATAAAATTTGGAACATATTTCTCTCTATCTGATTTCTCCAGAATTTGGAAACTATTTTTGAGTATTCTTAACTTATGGCAATATATTTATTTGCATAAGTGTGATAAGAATCTGTTTTCTGTGCTCACTTTGGCAACATACATACTAAAATTGGACGGATACAGACATAAACATGGCCCCTGCACAAGGATGACATGCAAATTCATGAAGCATTCCATATTTTTTTTAAAAAAAGAATGTTTTCTTTTGCAAAAGGACACAATTGGAGATACTGGTTATTTTACCAAGGCTTTGATTGGAATGGCATGCTTTCCTTTAAGAAATACAATTTGACTTATACAGCCAATGAAAGCCTTTTGGGGAAACTGACATCATACCTTGTCTATACAGTCCTTGTACAGAGTTCCTTACTTGTGGCAAATAAAGAAGGTAAATTTTCTCTTTTTTCTTTTTATTTTTTGAGACTGGTTCTGGGCAATAGAATGTAACTTTCTAACAAGCTGAGGAGCCCCACGTTGTCTTGAGACCTCAAGTGGAGAGGAATATATCTGACTCACAAAGGAATTTAATGACACAAATAAACCATGACTAGGCTTAAGGCTTTAAAAAGTCTTTTCTGAGATAGAACAAAGTTCCTTCAAAGTCAATATAAAAAGGATCTTATGTGGCAAATAATTATTCATGCTGTGCTTTATGCAAATAATCAAATTCACATACATATGATGAGAGAGAGAGAAAGAGAGAGAGACAGTGTGTGAGATAGAGCATGCAAGCAAACTCATACTTACATGCAACCCATACAGGTCACTTTAACTTTTGACTTTGTGTCTCAACCTGGTTGTATTGCTTTACCATTCAGAGTCCTCAGGTTGTTGACCAAAGTTTTTAGTTGTAATCAGTAATAAAGATAACCTATGCTGGGTTTTTCCCCACTTGACAAGATGTATCATAGTAACATGAATACATATACCTGATGCACATTTAATAAAATTAGTGTGCAAAAGTGCCTTTCTGTATTATAAAAGAGTATTAATATTTAGTAATTATAAACAATGAAAATGAATCTAAGAAGGCAACTTAGGCCCAAATTATATCTATATGATATATATGTGATATTATATACATTATGTATACACAATAAAGTGGATATGTACAATATAGTGAGTATATAATAAATAATTAAGTATATAATTGAATATATAATAAATTTAATACATAATATATTGAATATATAATAAATTATTAAATATATTATAAAAATATACCGCTTTTCTCTTTATCTGCTTTACTTTTCATCTTTTTATATCACTCATTTAAAAATCCCTAAAATCTTTAAAATTTCTTTTTTTTAGTTATTATGGGTACATGATACATGCATATATTTATGAGTTATATGTAATGTTCTGATACAGGCACACAATTTGTAATGATCATATCAGGGTAATTGGGATATCCCTCACCTTGAACATTTATCTTTTTTGTGTTAGGAATATTCAAATTCCACTCTTTTAGTTATTTTTAAATATAAAAGAAATTATTGCTTACTATAGTCACTCTATTTTGCTATGAAATACTAGATATTATTTAATTTATCTAGATGTATTTCTGCACTCAGTAATTATCACCACTTCTCCCCACTTCCTCTCTTCCCTTCCCAGCCTCTAGTAAGCATCATTCTACTCTCCATCTCTATTAGTTCTATTTTTGTTATTTTTAGCTCCCACGTATGAGCGAGGACATGCAAAATGAGTGTTTCTGTGCCTAGCTCATTTTACTTAATATTATGCCCTCTAGTTCCATTTATGTTGTTGCAAATGATACGATATTATGCCTTTTTATGGCTGAATAATATTTCATTGCATATATGTACCACGTGTTGTATTGATTTATCTGTTGATAAACACTTAGGTTGATTCTAAATCTTGCCTAATGTGAATAATGCTGCAATAAACATGGGAGTGCAGATATAGCTTTGATATACTGATTTTCTTGCTTTTGATTATATTAACTAGTAGTGGAATTGCTAGATTACGTGGCAGTTCTATTTTTAGTTTTTTGAGGAACCTCTGTACTACATTCCATAGTAGCTGTACTTACTTACATTCCCACCAACAATGTACGAAGTTTTCCATTTCTTCACAATCCCACTAACATTTATTATTGCCTGTCTTTGGGGAAAAACAGTTTTAATTGGTATGAGATTAATATCATTGTAATTTTTATTTGCACTTTCTCTGATGACTAATGATGTTGAGCATATTTTTTTATGCCTGTTGGCTATTTGTATGTCTTCCTTTGAGAAATGCCTATCAGATCTTTTATACATTTTAAAATCATATTATTTGATTTTTTTTCTGTTGAGTTTTTGGTCTCCTTATATATTATTTATTAATTCCTTGTCAGATGGGTAGTTTGCAAATATTTACTACTATTCTGTGCATTGTCTCTTCATTTTGCTGATTGCTTCCTTTGCTGCACAGAAGCTTTTTACCTTTCTGTGATCCCATTTGTCCATTTCTGCTTCAGTTGCCTGTGCTTTTGTGGTATTTCTCAAGAAATATTGGTCCAGACCAATGTCGTGGAGAATTTCCCCAAAGTTTTCCTTCAGTAGTTTCATAATTTCAGGTGTTTCATTTAAGACTTTAATTTATTTTGATTTGAATTTTTTTTTAGTTTTCTGTCTCATTTTGTGGCTTAATATATGGTCTATCTTTGAGAATAATCCACTTACTGGGGAAAAGAATGTGTATACAACAGCTGTTAGATTCTGTAAATATCTATTAGGTGCATTTAGTTTATAGTGCAGAATATGTCCAATGTTCCTTTGTTGATTTTCTCTCTGGATGGTTTGTCTGATGCTGAAAGTAGAATGTTGAGGTATCAAGCTATTATTGTATGAGGGCCTATCTCTCTCTTTACTTCTAGTAATATTTGCTTTATAAATATATTTGTGGTCCAGTGTTAGGTGCATAAATAAAACTGTTGTAACCTCCTGATGAATTGACCCGTTTATCATTACATAATGTCCTTCCTTGTATTTTTTATAGTTTTATCTTTAAATCTATTTTATCTGATTTGATAATAGCTACTCCTGCTCTTCTTTAGTGTCCATTTGCATAAAATATCTTTTCTCATCCCTTTGTTTTTAGCCTACATGTGTCTTTATAGGTGAAGTGAGTTTCTTATAGGTAGCAGATAATTTATTATATTATATTTTATTGGTTTTTTAAAACATATTCTGCCACCCTATGCCTTTTGATGGGAAGTTTAGTCCCTTTACATTCAATGCTATTATTAATTGGTAAGGACTTACTACTGCCAGTTTGTTGTTTTCTGGTTGCTTCATGATCCTCTCTACCTTTTTCTTACCTGTATTTCTTTGTCTAAAAGTAATTTGCTCTAGTAGTATATTTTAATTTAAGGTAAAACTAATACAGCTTAAGGATATTCTGGGCTGAGATGATGGGGTTTTCTAAATATAAAATCATGTCATCTGCAAACAGGGACAATTTGACTTCCTCTTTTCCTAATTGAATACCCTTTATTTCTTTCTCCTGCCTGATTGCCCTGGCCAGAATTTCCAACACTATGTTGAATAGGAGTGGTGAGAGAGGGCATCCCTGTCTTGTGCCAGTTTTCAAAGCGAATGTTTCCAGTTTTTGCCCATTCAGTATGATATTGGCTGTGGGTTTGTCATAAATAGCTCTTATTATTTTGAGATACATCCCATCAATACCTAATATATTGAGAGTTTTTAGCATGAAAGGCTGTTGAATTTTTTTTTTTTTTTTTTTTTTTGAGACTGAGTCTTGCTCTGTCGCCCAGGCTGGAGTGCAGTGGCGCAATCTTGGCTCACTGCAAACTCTGCCTCCTGGATTCATGCCATTCTTCTGCCTCAGCCTCCAGAGTAGCTGGGACTACAGGTGCCTGCCATCACACCCAGCTAATTTTTTTGTATTTTTAGTAGAGATGGGGCTTCACCATGTTGGCCAGGATTGTCTTGATCTCCTGACCTTGTGATCCACCCACCTCGGCCTCCCAAAGTGCTGGGATTACAGGCTTGAGCCACTGCGCCTGGACAGGGCTGTTGAATTTTGTCAAAGGCCTTTTCTGCATCGATTGAGATAATCATGTGGTTTTCCTCTTTGGTTCTATTTATATGCTGGATTACGTTTATTGATTTGCATATGTTGAACCAGCCTTGCATCCCCGGGATGAAGCCCACTTGATCATGACATTTATGCAGCCAACAGACACATGAAAAAATGCTCATCATCACTGGCCATCAGAGAAATGCAAATCAAAACCACAATGAGATACCATCTCACACCAGTTAGAATGGTGATCATTAAAAAGTCAGGAAACAACAGGTGCTGGAGAGGATGTGAAGAAATAGGAACACTTTTACACTGTTGGTGGGACTGTAAACTAGTTCAACCATTGTCGAGGACAGTATGGCAATTCCCCAAGGATCTAGAACTAGCCATCCCGTTACTGGGTATATACCCAAAGGGTTATAAATCATGCTGCTATAAAGGCACATGCACACGGATGTTTATTGCAGCACTATTCACAATAGCAAAGACTTGGAACCAACACAAATGTCCATCAATGATAGACTGGATTAAGAAAATGTGGCACATATACACCATGGAATACTATGCAGCCATAAAAAAGGATGAGTTCATGTCCTTTGTGGGGACATGGATGAAGCTGGAAACCATCATTCTCAGCAAGCTATCCCAAGGAAAAAAAATCAAACACTGCATGTTATCACTCATAGATGGGAATTGAACAATGAGAACATTTGGACACAGAAAGGGGAACATCACACACCAGGGCCTGTTGTGGGGTGAGGAGAGGGGGGAGGGAAAGCATTAGGAGATATACCCAATGTAAATGATGAGCTAATGGGTGCAGCACACCAACATGGCACATGTATACATATGTAACAAACCTGCACGTTGTGCACATGTACCCTAGAACTTAAAGTATAATGATAATAAAAAAAGAAAAGTCTGAAACATAAGGGGGGAAAAAAACTAATACAAACTGTACCCTTTAAGTTCATTTCCCTGATTTTTAATTTTTTTGTTGTTTCTATTTATATTTTTATACTCTCTATCTCTTAAAAAATTGTAGCTATTATTTTTGATAGGTTTGTCCATAGTCTTCCTACTCAAGATATGAGTGGTCTACACAACACAATTACAGTGTTAGAATATTCTGTATTTTTCTGTTTATTTACTGTTACCAGTGAGTTTTGTATCTTTATATGATTTCTTATTGCTCATTAATGACTCTTCTTTCAGATCAAAGAACTCACTTAAGCATTTCTTGTAGGACAGGTTTGGTATGCATCAAACTATCTCAGCTTTTGTTTGTCTTGGAAAGTTTTTATTTCTCCTTCATGTGATAAGGATTTTTTGTTCTGGATATAAAATCGTAGGAAAAAAAATTGTCCTTTTTTTCCTTCAGCACTTTGAATATATCATGCCATGCTCTTCTGGCTAGCCAGGTTTCCACTAAGAAGTCTACTAACAGAAATATTGGAGCCTATTAAAAAGCTTTTAAGATCCTTTCTTTAACCTTGACCTTTGGGAGTTTCATTATTAACTGTCTTGAGGTAGTTGTATTTGATTTAAATCTGCTTTGTGTTCTATTATATTGTCGTACTTGGATATTGATATCTTCCTCTAGTTTTGCAAAGTTGTTATGTTTTATTTGAAGAAACTTTTTATGCCATTCTCTCTCTCAATCTCCCCTTTTAAACCAATAACTGTCAGATTTGCACTTTTGAGGCTATTTTGTAAATCTTGTAGGCATGCTTTTTTATTATATTTTAAGTTCCGGGGTACATGTATGAACGTGCAGGTTTGTTACATAGGTATACACGTGCCATGGTGGTTTGCTGCACCCATCAACCCGTCATCTGCATTAGGTATTTCTCCTAATGTTATCCCACCACTACCTCCCAACCCCCTGAAAGGCCCTGGTGTGTGATGTTCCCCTCCCTGTGTCCATGTGTTCTCATTGTTCAACTCCCACTTATGAATGAGAACATGCGGTGTTTGGTTTTCTATTCTTGAGATAGTTTGCTGAGAATGATGGTTTCCAGCTTCATCCATGTCTCTGCAAAGGACATGAACTCATCCTTTCTTATGGCTGTTTAGTATTCCATGGTGTATATGTGCCACATTTTCACTATCCAGTCTATCAGTGATGAGCATTTGGGTTGGTTCCAAATCTTTTCAATTGTAAACAGTGACACAACAAATATAAGTGTGCATGTGTCTTTATAGTAGAATGATTTATAATCCTTTGGGTATAAACCCAGTAATGGGATTGCTGAGTCCAATGGTATTTCTAGTTCTAGATCCTAGAGGAAACGGCACACTGTCTTCTACAATAGTTAAACTAATTTACACTCCCATCAACAATGTAAAAGCATTCCTATTTCTCCACATCCTCTCCAGCATCTGTTGATTCCTGACTTTTTAATGATCGCCATCCTAACTGGCATGAGATGGTATCTTATTGTGGTTTTGATTAGCATTTCTCTAAGGACCAGTGATAACTGAGCTTTGTTTCATATGTTTCTTGACTGCATAAATGTCTTCTTTTGAGACATGTCTGTTCATTTCCTTTGCCCACTTTTTGATGGGGTTGTTTGTTTTTTCTTGTATATTTGTTTAAGTTCTTTGTAGATTCTGAATATTAACCCTTTTTCAGATGGATAGATTGCAAAAATTTTCCCCCATTCTGTAGGTTGCCTGTTCACTCTGATGATAGTTTATTTTGCTGTGTGCAAGCTCTTTAGCTTAATTTGTTCCCATTTGTCTATTTTGGTTTCTGCTGCCATTGCTTTTGGTGTTTTAGTCATGAAGTCTTTGCCCATTCCTATGCCCTGAATCGTATTGCCTAGGTTTTCTTCTAGGGTTTTTATGGTCCTAAGTCATACATTTAAGTCTTTATTCCATCTTGAGTTAATTTTTGTATAAGGTATAAGGAAGGGATCCAGTTTCAGCTTTCTGGAAATGGCTAGCCAGTTTTCCCAACACCATTTATTATATAGGGAATGCTTTCCTATTGTTTGTTTTTGTCAGGTTTGTCAAAAATCAGATGGTTGTAGATGTCTGGTGTTATTTTTGAGCCCTCTGTTTTGTTCCATTGGTCTATATATCTGTTTTGGTACCAGTATCATGCTGTTTTTGTTACTGTAGCCATGTAGTGTCGTTTGAAGTCAGGTAGCATGATGACTCCAGCTTTGTTCTTTTTGCTTAGGATTGTCTTGTCTATGTGAGTTTTTTTGGGTTCCATATAAAATTTAGAGTAGTTTTTTCCAATTCTTTAAGGAAAGTCAATGGTAGCTTGATGGGGATAGCATTAAATCTATACATCATTTTGGGCAGCATGGCCATTTTCAAGATATTGATTCTTCCTATCCATGAGCATGGAATGTTTTTCCATTTGTTTGTGTCCTCTCTTATTTCCTTGAGCAGTGGTTTGTAGTTCTCCTTGAAAAGGTCCTTCATATCCCTTGTAAGTTTTATTCCTAGGTATTTTATTCTCTTTGTAGCAATTGTGAATGGGAGTTCACTCACCATTTGGCTCTCTGTCATTTTTTGTATAGGAATGCTTGTGATTTTTGCACATTGATTTTCTATCCTGAGACTTTGCTGAAGTTGCTTATCAGTTTAAGGAGATTTTGATCAGAGATTATGGGGTTTTCTAAATATAGACTCATGTCATCTGCAAACAGAGACAATTTGACTTCCTCTCTTCCTGCTTAAATACAATTTATTTCTTTCTCTTGTCTGATTGTTCTGGTCAGAAGTTCCAATACTATCTTGAATAGGAGTGGTGAGAGAAGGTATCCTAGTCTTGTGTCGGTTTTCAGGGGGAATGCTTCCAGTTTTTGCCCATTCGGTATGATATTGGCTGTGGGCTTGTCATAAATAGCTCTTACTATTTTGAGTTATGTTCAATCAATACCTAGTTTTTTGAGAGTTTTTAGCATGAAGGGCTGTTGAATTTTATTGAAGGCCTTTTCTGCATCTATTGAGATAATCATGTCTGTGTTTTTTTTTTTTTTTTCTGTCATTGGTTCTGTTTATGTGATGGATTAGGTTTATTGATTTCCTTATGTTGAATCAGCCTTGCATTCCAGGGGTGAAGCCAGCTTGATTGTGGTGGATAACCTTTTTGATGTGCTGCTGGATTCAGTTTGCCAGTATCTTATTGAGGATCTTCACATCAAT
The DNA here is from genome assembly GCF_000001405.40 of Homo sapiens. NCBI lineage: Eukaryota > Metazoa > Chordata > Mammalia > Primates > Hominidae > Homo > Homo sapiens. Next base: position 21,327 of record NW_009646200.1, read on the forward strand.
GCTTATCAGGGATATTGGCCTGAAATTTTCATTTTTTGCTGTTTATCTGCCAGGTTTTGGTATCAGGATGGTGCTGGCCTCATAAAATGAGTTAGGGAGGAGTCCTTCTTTTTCTATTGTTTGGAATAGTTTCAGAAGGAATGGTACCAGCCCCTCTTTGTACCTCTGGTATAATTCGGCTGTGAATCCATCTAGTCCTGGAATTTTTTTGGTTGGCTGGCTGTTAATTGCAGCCGCAATTTCAGAACTTGTTATTAGTCTATTCAGGAATTCAACTTCTTCCTAGTTTAGTCTTGGGATGGAGTATGTGTCCAGGAACTTATCCATTTTTTTCTAGAATTTGTAATTTATTTACATAGAGGTGTTTATAGTATTCTCTGATGGTAGTTCGTATTTCTGTGGGATTGATGGTGATATCCCCTTTAACATTTTTTATTGCGTCTAATTCTTCTCTCTTTTCTTCTTTATTAGTCTGGCTAGCAGTGTATCTATTTTGCTGATCTTTTCAAAATACCAACTCTTGGATTCATTGACTTTTTTGAAGAGATTTTCATGTTTCTATCTCTTTCAGTTCTGCTCTGATCTTAGTTATTTCTTGCCTTCTGCTAGCTTTTGAATTTGTTTGCTCTTGCTTCTCTAGTTCTTTTAATTGTGATGCTAGGGTGTTCATTTTAGATCTTAACTGCTTTCTCTTGTTGGCATTTAGTGCTTTAAATTTCCCTCTATACACTGCTTTAAATGTGTCCCAGGTATTCTGGTATGTTGTGTCTTTGTTCTCATTGGTTTCAAAGCATATCTTTATTTCTCCCTTCATTTCATCATTTATCTAGTAGTCATTCAGGAGCAGGTTGTTCAGTTTCCATGTAGTTGTGTGGTTTTGAGTGAGTTTCTTAATCATGAGTTCTAATAATTTGATTGCACTGTGGTCTGAGAGACTATTCGTTATGATTTCCGTTCTTTTGCCTTTGCTGAGGAGTGTTTTACTTCCAATTATGTGGTCAATTTTAAACTAAGTGCTATGTGGTGCTAAGAAGAATGTACATTCTGTTGATTTTGGCTGGAGAGATCTGAAGATGTCCATTAGGTTCGCTTGATCCAGAGCTGAGTTCAAGTCCTGGATATCTTTGTTAATTTTCTGTCTCATTGATCTGTCTAATATTGACACTGGGGTGTTAAAGTCTCCCAATATTATTGTGTGGGAGTCTAAGTCTTTCTGTATGTCACTAAGAACTTGCTTTATGAATCTAGGTGCTCCTGTATTGGGTGCATATATATTTAGGATAGTTATCTCCTCTTGTTGCACTGATTCTTTCACAATTATGTAATGCCCTTCTTTGTCTCTTTTGATCTTTGTTGGTTTAAAGTTTGTTTTATCACAGATTAGGATTGAAACCCATTTTTTTTTTCCATTTGCTTGGTAAATATTCCTCCATCCCTTTATTTTGAGCCTATGTGTGTCTTTGCACATGAGATGGGTCTCCTGAATACAGAACACCAATGGGTCTTGACTGTTTATCCAATTTGCCAGTCTGTGTCTTTTAATTGGGGCATTTAGCCCATTTACATTTATGGTTAATATTGTTACATGTGAATTTGATCCTACCATTTGGTGCTAGCCGATTATTTTTCAAGTGAGTTGACGCAGTTTCTTCATATCGCTGATGTTCTTTACAATTTGGTATTTTTTTGCAGGGGCTGGTATTGGTTGTTCTTTTCCAGGTTTAGTGCCTCCTTCTGGAGCTCTTGTACGGCAGGCTTGGTGGTAACAAAATCTCAGCATTTGCTTGTCTGTAAGGGATTTTATTCTTCTTCACTTTTGAAGCTTAGTTTGGCTGGATATGAAATTATGGGTTGAAAATTCTTTTCTTTAAAAATGTTGAATATTGGCACCCACTCTTTTCTTGCTTGTAGGGTTTCTGCAGAGAGAGCCACTGTTAGTCTGATGGGCTTCTCTTTGTGGGTAACCTGACCACTCTCTCTGGCTGCCCTTAACATTTTTCCTTTATTTTAACCTTTGTGGATATGACGATTATGTGTCTTGGGGTTGCTCTTCTCAAGGAGTAACTTTGTGGTGTTCTCTGTATTTCCTGAATTTGAATGTTGGCCTGCCTTGCTAGGTTGGGGAAGTTCTCCTGGATAATATCCTGAAGAGTGTTTTCCAACTTGCTTCCATTCTCCCAGTCAGTTTCAGGTACACCAATCAAATGTAGATTTGGTCTTTTTACATAGTCCTATATTTCTTGGAGGCTTTGTTAGTTTCTTTTCACTCTTTTTTTCTCTAATCTTGTCTTGTCACTTTATTTCATTGAGTTGAATTTCAATCTCTGATATCCTTTCTTCCGCTTGATTGATTCGGCTGTTGATATTTGTATATGCTTCACAAAGCTCTCATGCTGTGTTTTTCAGCTCCATCAGGTCATTTATGTTCTTCTCTAAACTGGTTACTCTAGTTAGACATTTGTCTAACCTTTTTTCAAGGTTCTTAGCTTCTTTGCATTGGGTTAGAACATGCTCCTTTAGCTCGGAGGAGTTTGTTATTACTCACCTTTTGAAGCCTACTTCTGTCAGTTCATCAAACTCATTCTCCATCCATTTTTGTTCCCTTGCTGGGGAGGAATTATGATCCTTTGGAGAAGAGGCATTCTAGTTTTTGGAATTTTCAGCCTTTTGCGCTGGTTTCTCCCCATCTTCGTGGATTTATCTACCTTTGGTCTTTGAAGTTGGTGACCTTCGGATGGGGTATCTGGGTGGAAGTCCTTTTGTTAATGTTTATACTTGTTTTTCTGTTTGTCAGTTTCCTTTTAACAGTCAGGCCCCTCTGCTGCAGGTCTGCTGGATTTTGCTGAAGTCCACTCCAGACCCTGTTTGCCTGGGTATCATCAGTGGAGGCTGCAGAACAGCAATGATTCCTTCCTGTTCCTTCTTCTGGAAGCTTCATCCCAGAGGGGCACCGGCCAGATGCCAGCCAGGGCTCTCCTGTGTGAGGAGTCTGTTGGCCCCTACCGGGAGGTATCTCCCAGTCAGGATAAACAAGGGTCAGAGACCCACTTGAGAAGGCAGTCTGTTTCTTATCAGAGTTCAAATGCTGTTCTGGGAGTTTTGCTGCTCCCTTCAGAGCTGCCAGGCAGGGATGTTTGAGTCTTCTTGATGCTGTGCCTACAACCGCCCCTTCCCCCACGTGCTGTCCCAGGGAGTTGGAGGTTTTATCTATAAGTCTCTCACGGGGCTGCTGCCTTTTCTTCAGAGATGCCCTGCCCAGAGAGGAGAGGCAGTCTGGCCTCAGTGGCTTTGCTGAGTTGCTTTGGGCTTTGCCCAGTTTGAACTTCTTGCTGGCTTTGTTCACTCTGTGAGGGTAAAACCGCCTACTCAAGCCTCAGCAATGGTGGACGCCCCTCCCCACAATAAGCTTGTGTGTCTCAGGTCGAGCTCAGACTGCTGTGCTAGCAGGGAGAATTTCAAGCCAGTGGATCTCAGCTTGCTGGCCCCGTGGTGGAGGGATCCGCTGAGTCAGACCACTTGGCTCCCTGGCTTCAGTCCCCTTTCCAGGGGAGTGAATGGTTGTGTCTCGCTGGTGCTCCACGCACCAGTGGGGTATGAAAAAAAAAAAAAAACTCCTGAGGCTAACTCAGTGTCTGCCCAAGTGGTCGCCTAGTTTTGTGCTGGAAACCCAGGGTCTTGCTGGTGTAGGCACCAGAGTGAATCTTTTCGTCCGCAAGTTGCCAAGATTGTGGGAAAAGCGCAGTATCTGGGCCTGCGTGCACTGTACAGTCCCTAATGGATTCCCTAGGCCAGGAGAGGGAGTTCCCCCACTCCTTGCGCTTCCTGGGTGAGGCGATGCCCCACCCTGCTTTGGCTGCCCTCCTTGGGCTGCACCCACTGTCTAACCAGTTCCAATGAGATGAACTGGGTAACTCATTTGGAAATGTAGAAACCACCCGCTTTCTGCATTGATCTCACTGAGAGCTGCAGACCGGAGCTGTTCCTATTTAGCCATCCTGCCTGCAAAAAGACATGCTTTTTAAAATTTTTTTTGTGTATGATTTCTCTTCTGATTGTGTATTTATATCGTGTGTCTTCAAATTAGCTCATTCTTTCTTCTGCTCAATCAATTCTGCTGTTGAGAAACTCTAAGAAGTTTTAAGTCTATTAACTAAAATGTTCAACTCTAGGATTTCTACTTGCTTTTTCATTATTTTAATCTCTTTGTTACATTTCTCTGACAGGATTCTGAAGTCTTTCTTTGTGTTGTTTTAAGTTTATCTGGCTTCCTCAAAACAGCGATTTTGAATTCTCTGTCTGAAAGGCTGCATACCTCTGTCACTCTGAGATTAGTGACTGGTTTTTATCTACTTATTGTGGTGAGATCATGTTTCCTGGATGTTATTGATGCTTGTGGATGTTCACTGATATCTAGGATTCAAGAGTTGGGTACTTATTCTAATCTCAATCTGGATTTGTTTCTATCCATCCTTCTTGAGAAGGCTTTCCAGATATTCAAAGGAAATTAAGTGTTGTAAACTAAGTCTCTGATTAATGCAGTTTTATCTGCACTAGAGAATGTCTCCAACTCAAGAATTTTAAAAACTTTGCAGATTCCTGCTGCCTTGATGGGCTTGGGTACAATTCAGGAGAATTTCCTGGATTCACAGGAAGACTTTCATTCTTTTTCTTCACTTTTCCTCAAGCAGAAGGCACCACTCCTTGCTGGAATACCTGGAGTTGGGGGGAGCGTGATGCAAGCACTCTCATGTCCATCACAGCTAGAACAACACTGAGTGACACTTGAATCCTGCATAGTACTGGGTTGTCCCAAGGCCCATGGTGACTACTTCCTGGCTATCACTGATGTTTATTCAAGGCAAAAGAGATCTTTAGACAGCACGTAGTGAATATTACCAGGACTGAGTTCTTCCCTGTGTGACAGCAAGTTCCTTTGTGGGTCCACAGCAGATCCAAAAATGCAGTCCAGCTGGGCGTGGTGGCTCATGCCTGCAATCCCAACAATTTGGGAGGCCAAGATGGGGGGATCACCTGAGGTCAGGAGTTCGAGACCAGCCTGACCAACATGGAGAAACCCCATCTCTACTAAAAATACAAAAAATTAGCCGGGCATGGTGGCACATGCCTGTAATCCCAGCTACTCTAGAGGCTGAGGCAGGAGAATTGCTTGATCCTGGGAGGCAGAGGTTGCAGTGAGCTGAGATCACTCCATTGCACTCCAGACTGGGCAACAAAAGTGAAACTCCATCACAAACACGAAAAGCCGTTCGGTAGCTAGGGCTTAGCAATAGGGTTTTCAGAAAACTGCTTTGTGCTTTATTTTACTGTAACTGAGCTAGTACTCAAGCAGAGACTCTTGCAAGGCAGAGTACTCTTTCCTCTTCATTTTGCAGGGGCATGGAGTCTCTTCCCACGCTGCATTGGCTGAAGTTGGGGGAGGGGTGATGCAAGCACTCCCTTGGACACCACAGCTTGTGTATCACTGGGTCACGTGCCCCACCAAGTCCACTGACTCTGAGTCTAGCCAAGCCCCAGGGCTTGCCCAAAGACTGCAGCCTTGTGGCCTAAATTTATTTAGGACTCTAGACCACTTTGGTCAGATAGTGGAATTAGATGTAATTCAGGTTTATACTGCTAGGGCAGAGGAATCTTCTCTAGCTGAGGGTAGTCTAACTGCTGCCTCCATGGGTGCCAGAATTGTGCTGTGTGTTTTGTTCTTCTGTGACAGAGCAGCATTAATTTCCAATGCAATTCCCACAATCACTTTGCTCTCCCTCCCATAAGCACACAGAATCTCTCTGTCCACTGCCAAGGGATTAGAAGGGGTAGTGTAGATACCAAGACTGTCTTTTCTACCATCTTCAGTGCCTCTTTCCTTGATATAATGTTAACACTATATTCTGTGACTGCTTACCTAATTTTTGGTTCTAATGGAAGTGCTTTCTAGCATGGATAGATGTTCAACTTTATGTTCTTGGGGTTGGAGGGAGTGATTGTTGGAGGGTTCTATTTGGTCATCTTGCTCTGCCTGCTTTCTACCTTTAAGTCTTTCAATAATCCTAAAACACTTTCCATCAATCACTTTTCATAAGATAATAACAAAAAGAATTATAAGCATAAAGGTTTACACATCTACATTAATTTTCCCCTCAAATCCTACATGCTCCAATAAGTTTAGGAAATAAAATCTTAGTGCTCTGTTCAATGATTTAAAAATTCAACTTTAGTGTGTCTCTGTTTTGGGGTTGCTTCATCTTCCTGCTAAACTTAATGAGACTTGGTGCTTACAGTAGCTTTATTGTAATCACATGGCTGATACAGCATGAATAAATTATATGATTGTAAACATAAGTTGAAATAGTTTTTTAAAATATGCAGATATATTTGATTATCATTACTTCTAGCTCTACTCATGTTGATATAAATTTTAACCTATAGAATTCCTTTCATATTCAGTCCCAAATTCTAAGCATCTCTTCTTAACATGCTGAAAAATATTGCTGAAGATTTCATTTAGAAAAAGTAATAAAGCATATGATTAAAGGTAGCATTTTCTCTCCCTGAAAAATTCGCAGGGGAAGCAAGGCAACCTGTAAAGTTGAGCATGGACATCAAGGAGTAACTTCGTTTTTCTAAAATAATATAAACATAAATTATATTTATGTAGTAAACTTTTATGTTAGATTTCATGATGAAATGTTTATAAATGAAGGAAATATGCCATTAAGCCATTAAATTTTATTATGTGAGAAAAATCCTTGTAAAAATACCATTAAAAAGTCATGTTTTGCTTCCTTTATTTTACTAAAAGAATAAATAAAATATTATTTACATCATTTCTGTATTTAACATTAAATTATTTGAAAAAACATAATATAGCTTAAATCACCCAATTATGTATGGGCATATTCCAGTATTTCTTTTATAACATCCATTGGCGAATATTTATTTTACTGAAACAGGTCATGTAGGAATATAGTACACTGTACTCTATTCAATTGAATAGAAATCAATAAAATATTGAATAAAATATTGAATCTATTATTTTACATTTCTATTGAAACAGGCAATGTAGGAATATACTACACCATATAGTACATTAGATTCCTATACTATAAATACACTATATTCCCTTTTATCTATTTTTTTAATTAAATAATACATTAGATTCAAACTTTCTAATTTTAGAGACACTTTTTATGTTTCCAAAATCTTAAGGAGAAATTTTTCTAAAAGTCTCTATTTGAGTCCATACTAACCTTCCTGCCACATAAAATTTTAAAAAGAAATTCTTTGTTTCTTGGTTGGACTCATGACACACATTTTCATTATTCATGGATTACTTGCCTTTTATCTTGTTAGGGAATACATTTTTGAGTGTGGTCTTCAAACCAAGATATTGTACTTGCGAAGAAGGTTTTATAGGTATGCTTGCTCTGACTGAGTCTTACAAGAATAATTTTCCAGATTCTTGACTTCACATGTACCCTTTTTTAAAACAGATCTGCCTGAGAACATATCTGTGATGGAGAAATATCTCTTCTCACCTTTTACAACCACTCCTTTCTATTTGATAGAAAAGAAAGGTTTAACCCCGACTTAACCCTACATTTAGTATGTGGAATTACCTCTTGGGGCTAAAACTTCCAGATAAGCCAATTAAAACATAATTTAAAATATTGTACAGCATCCAGGTGTTGATTCCATGAAATATAGATCTTTGTAGTCAAATGGTTTACAAAATTTTGTTTTTAAAAGAAGTGATTGAAAGCCCCATTCTAGGCCAGGGACGGTGGCTCCCGCCTGTAATCCCAGCACTTTGGTAGGCCGAGGCAGGCAGATAACCCGAGGTCAGTCAGGAGTTTGAGACCACCCTGGCCAATGTGGCGAAACCCCGCCTCACCTAAAAATACAAAAATTAGCCGGGCATGGAGGTGAGCATCTGTAATCCCAGCTACTAGAGAGGCTGAGGCACGAGAACCGCTGGAACCTGGAAGGCGGAGAATACAGTCAGCCGAGATTGCACCAAGTCTGGGCAATAAGAGCAAGTCTTTGTCTCAAAAAAAAAAAAAAAAAAATTCAGGCATTCATTCAGTAATATAATTACCTTACTAAATGACTGAGGTGTTTCTTTTTGTTTGTTTGTTTTGTTTTGTTTTCGAGACGGAGTCTTGCTCTGTAGCCCAGCTGGAGTGCAGTGGCGATCTCGGCTCACTGCAACCTCCGCCTCTCGGGTTCAAGTAATTCCCCTGCCTCAGCCTACCAAGTAGCTGGCACTACAGGTGCGTGCCACCACGTCCAGCCAATTTGTTGGTATTTTTAGTAGAGACAGGGTTTTACCATATTGGCCAGGCTGGTCTCGAACTCCTAACCTCATGATTTGTCCGCCTCAGCCTTCCAAAGTGCTGAGATTATAGGAATGAGCCACCGCGCCTGGCTGGTTTATATGGTCTTGATCATATTTAACAATTACTTCCTTTTATTATTTTACTTAATTTTTAGTAAATGACTAGTAAATATTATCTGAATAATTTTTCATATTTATTGACATTATCACGTCTTTATCTTCCTTTTTTTTGAAATAATGAATTAGGACAATAACTTCTCTCATGATGAATGCTCCTGAATTAGAGGTCTGTGTCTTACTTGGTCTTTGGAAATAATTCTTCTGATATACTGCCAAATGACAAACTCCATTTGTTGTACTTTATAGTTTTTGACCTACATCAATCATCAGTTTGTTTTCAGACTATCTTTATCATTTTTAGTATTAATAGTATGCTAGTAAGATAGAATTTATGACAGACCTTTTTTCATTTTGTCTGATCTAAAATATTTTAAATAGCACTCGGAATTATGAACTTGACAAGAAATTTAAGTGCAAAGCCACTCAAAAGTTCTCAGAAGAGACTTATTTTTGCGGATCGTTGAACAAATAGTTATTTTTAATTTTTAATTGCTGTTTTCTGTAATTCATTGGGATTTTCTTGAGGCACAGAAAGTGTTCTCTTTTGTTTACTTAGTGCCAATAGATCACGGAAGTTAATACCTTCCAAGAAGTTTGGCTGTCACTCCAAGATTGGAATGCAAGACGTGGGTCAAGCTTATGTGTGCTATTTGTCAATTGACATTTCCTAAGCCATTGAGAAGACGTTGCCTGAATCTGAGGGAGTTCACATAAATATCCATGCTGCCTAAAAAAAAAAAAAAAAAAAAAACCTCAGTAAAGACATCTTGGAAAATTCCAGAAAAATAATGAAGAAGAATGTAATTAAACTTGCCAAATACTGTTAGTTATTTGTAATTACATATATATATATATATATAGAACAAATAAAGTACATTTTATTTAAAATATATTCTGAATTTTTAAAATCTATTTGAATGGTGTAAGGCTAGATCAGTTTAAAGAACTACCATGAAAGTATTCCACTAAACAAATCATCCATACTAAAATAAAGCTTCTCTACAACCAAAATGAGTTAAGAATTTTCTTACATAGTTTTATGAAATTTGATCTTGGTTGAAATATAATACCATAGATTAAAATAGATACAGGTACTATTCATAATTGTATTAAATTATTTGTTTAATCATGGTAATAAATGATCTGAAAAATGGTATTCTGTAAATCATAGTCCTAAGCACATATATGTCATTTTGTATTTGATAAATTTAATTAATTGTAATTTATTTTACTTAAATATTCTCTCATTACAATTTTTAAAATCCAAAAACATAATGGAAAGCGCTGTGTTAACTGCTTGTCATTTGTAAACTAAAACGCTGTGTGGCACTTTCAGTGCATTCCAGTGTCAGAGAAGTCAGGTAAGTAAGTTAATTATTTTTGCCTGTTCACGTGTTTCAAATATTATGTTAAATATTCCACCAATACTTTGATTTACCTGGCTTACTACCGAGGCAGGTCACAGTATGAGGAATTCAATTCCTTCATGAAGTTGCTCAAAAAACTTTACTCAGCTCAGATATGATGAAATATACTTCTTTCATATGTATATACTGAAATAACTTTCGGAACGCATAATATGATGTATGTGAGGCAACAAGCTTTATTTTCTGGACCACTTTTTTACTTACTTCAACCAGCAAAGGCAGCATGTACTTTGATTAATCTGAAATACACAAATATTGGAACAAACAAGCTTCTTAAACCATTATAGGAACAGCAACGAAGCATGCCCCTAGCTCAGTGGTTTTGTTCTTCCTTCCAAATGAAGTGTTCTTCTAGATAAATGAGGACTCTTTCCCATACTTCATTCAGATTTTGGTTAAATATTACTTTCAGAGAGGAAACATCCCTCTGCAACTAACCTCATGTGCCTATTTTATTTTAAAATTTAAACAAAAATTAAATTAAAATTTAAAAATTTTGTCTTCTATCTCACTTTTGATATCAAATGTAACTAGTAGCTTTCATATTAGATAGAGCATATAAAATATTTCCACTATTACAGAGAATTCTACTGAATAATTCTGCCCTATTCTCTTAACCTACTTCATTTATATGGAAAATTCTTATCACTATCTGATATTACATTATATATCTTTTTATTTCTAATCATTTGTTTTCATTATAATGGGAAACCTTACTTTAGTTACCAGGCTTCCTACTATCTAAAACAGCGCTTAGTGCAGAGATATTGCCCGGTAAATATTTGTAGAATAAAAGGCCAGAAATTACTCATTTTCCTTGTATTTTCTAGCATCTCTTTGCTACCATTACCTGGTAAAACAGGCATGAACTATGCCCTTTGCCATTTTAGTCTAGAACATACAGAAGAGGACATTTTCCTGGCTTTTTAATATTTATTTATTTCTATTTCATTTATTTATTTTATTTTTAATTTTTGTGGCTACATAGTAGGTTTATATATTTATGGGGTACATGGGATGTTTTAATACAGGCATATAATATGAAATAAGCAAATCATGGAGAATGTGGTATCGATCCCCTCAAGCATTTATCCTTTGAGTTCCAAACACTCCAATTATACTCTTTATTTTTAAATGTGCAACTAAGCTATTAGTGACTATAGTCACGCTGCTGTCTTATCACATAGTAAGTCTTACTCATTCTTTCTCTTTTTTGGGGGGGCGTACCCATTTATTTTTGCTTGGTCTTTTAAGTCTAGAGCACAACAGTAGTGAAAAGAAAAATGTATAAAAAATACAAGAAACCAATGTAAATTTCAAAACAAATAAAATAACCTACCTTGTAGATTTAAGTTTTTGAACTTCCTGCTCTTTCTACAGATCATGGCTAAATTATACGTCCATGATGAATTTTTGAACTCCTATCAAAAGTGTAATTAAGGCCTGGCGCAGTGGCACACGCCTGCCTGTAATCCCAGCACTTTGAGAGGCCAAGCTGGGCAGATCACAAGGTCAGGAGATCGAGACCATCCTGGCTAACACGGTGAAGCCCCATCTCTACTAAAAATACAAAAAATTAGCCGGGCATGGTGGCGGGCTCCTGTGGTCCCAGCTGCTTGGGAGGCTGAGGCCGAAGAATGGCCTGAACCTGGGAGGCAGAGCTTGCAGTGAACCAAGATCGCTCCACGCACTCCAGCCTTGGTGACAGAGCAAGACTTCGTCAAAAAAAAAAAAGAATAATTAATAGAAATCATAGGAAGGAGGGCATCCCTTAAGCTAACTTGGTGTTATAATATTCTTAAAGAAAAACAAAGCAATGCAAATGAATAAAACAAGACAACAACTAAGTAAATTTAGAAAATAAAGTTAGTTTTCAGGCATCAGCGTTTAAAAAAATATATGGTGTGCCTGAAAAGAATAATGAAAAACTGAGGCAAAATAGGATCTGCTTTACTCAAGAACTCCTTGCTATTTTTCTGAAGTCTAAAGGTGATTTGATTTAAAAAGGGAGGAAATAAAGAGCTCACACAAATTGCTATATATCTGTTGAGTAGTAATATTTCATAAATGCATTTCTTTATAAAATTCCGTTAAAGAAAATGCAAAATATTATCTTCCAAGATCAAACTTAATCTAACAATAGAAAATTACATATTAATTCCTTTAAATTAGTATACCCCAAGAAAGATAAAAGAACTTTTAGATTATAGTAAAATCACTGCTAATGACAGAAAAATAACTTCGTTTGAAAACTCACACTGAAGTCTTAGCACATCAGTTTGGTCTGACAAAAACAGTGCAGATTTTCAAACTAGACAAACCTAGATTTAGTAGCTTGATAAATATCTATAAGCAAGTAAGTGATTTAAGCAATTTAATCTCTCTGAGCATAAATTTAGAAAGAAATTAATTAAGCCAATATTTATTAAAATTTTTTATTGGATGGCCTTATGCTCATTTACAGAATTTACTTGTGAGAACGCACATAGACTTTGCTTTGATCAGGTTTATAGTCTTATTCAATAATTAATGTGATAAATATAATTAGAAGTCCACTGCTAGTCATTGAGGAAAAACAAGGTTCAGGCTTAACCTCCCCTTATAAACAACTAGAAATCTCTGCAAAATATATAAAATAATACTTTTAAAAATATTAAACAAAAAGCATACAACTCTAAGTACAAATAGAAGAGAAACATAGTGAATATTAAGTCAAGCACTATGTGTGTATATTTTTATTAATTAAGGCAATTTTAAGACTGTACACACAAGAAATGAAAAAGAAAACAGAGCTTGGCAGACCTTCTAACTTGAGGTGTCAGAGTTAGTAGTGTCAGGATGCTCAGGTAATTGAAAATTGCAGGCTAGAGTTCTAGAAAGGAGAAATTACTCAGAAAAAGACCTCTACATATGGAGTCCCTTTTATTTTCTGTGTACTAGGTCCCTCTTCTTTGAAGTATAACTCCACAAGACAATCACAATAATAGCAGTAAGACTGTCGTGATCATCTGGATAACATAGTGGATACTACAGAAGGGACATATATTAATAGTAGTGGCCTTGAATTGAACACTACTTTGGACCCTTCTTAGGAAAACTAAATACTAAGTCTAAAATAGATCAAAACAATCAGAAAAAAAAAGGCTGATTTTTTTTTTAAAGTCCAATGGGAAATTACATAAAAACAACATACAGCATAAACATGATGTAACTCATTGATGTGATAATTCATTGATGTGATAATTCATTAACATAACTCATAGTGCATAATGTCAGATCACAAATTATTAGACATGCCAAGAGAAAAATATATGACCAAAGCTAGGAATATTATCACTCAATAGAATCAACAACAAAAAAAGAGAGAGATGATGTAACCAGCAGAAAAAGATGTTTTACAGGGCTATGCATACTAAAATTGTAGAAAACCAAATATCTACAGTTAAAGGTTGACATTTTAAAGCTCTCTCTAACATTCATATAGCTAAAAGACAAAAAAGAATACGTATAGATATATTAATAGCTGTAGAAGTCTTGAACAATAGAATAAACAAAGAAAACCTAATTGTCATTTAGGAAACATTTCACACCACAGCAGCAGAAGACATACTCTTTTCAGGTGCACGGAAAACATTCAACAAAACAAACCATATAGTGGAACATAAAACATATAGCTAAAGAAATAAAACATACAAAGGAACCAGATGGAAATTTGAGAGTTAAAAAAGAAAATGGCTGTAATAACAATATTTTTGTAGAAACTTAAAAGTTAATTAGGCACTACAAAAGAAACATATAGTAAACTTGAAAATAAAGTAATAATATATATCAAAAATAAAGAACGAGAGAAGAAAATGAGAAAGGAAAAAAGTTTCAGTGATTCAGTTACCTGAGGTAAATTATCAAATATTTTTGCACATGCAATTGGAATTGTTAAAGAAATGAGAGTCGTGATGATGAGGAGAATATATTTGAATAAATAAAGTGTAATTACATATTTCCATGATGTTTAACAAATGTAAGTAGTATATACACGGAAAATAATACCACAAGAACCATCATAATTAAAATGTTAAAAAACAGTGAGAATTCCCCATAAAACTCCATATTACCTATAGAAAAAAAGTACAATATGAATGACAGTTAACTTTTAATATCAAACAATGCAATCCAGAAGATAATAAAAATAAAGTCTTCGTGTGCTGAAAGAAGAAATTTGTTCAAGTAGACTTTTATATACAGCAAATATATCCATAAATAAGGTGAAATAAAAAAAGAAAGGTTAAAAAAATTGATGCTAGCAGACAAATTATAAATATTAAAGTAAATGTAAAACAGGTTTTTTTAACTTTAAACATTTTTCCAAAATATTATCAATTGTTTAAATGCATTGTGTGTTTTATATCTTATGAAGAAGCAACATACAGTACTATTATAGCACAAGATTCAAGAAGTGAGAAATGAAATTATACCCTTTTAAGTGTCACGCACAGAAAATTAAATGGTATAACATAATAGAAGGGATACTGTGATTAAAATGCATATTGTAAATCCCAAAGAAAAAATGAAAATACAATAAAATACATAGTTAATAAGCAATCAAATACCAAAATATACTAAATTAATGCAAAAGAAAATAGAAAATGAAAAATGAGGATACAATTTTAAAAAACTGTATGGTAGATATGAATTTATATGTACAGTTAAAATGGGTGGAAATAGACTAAAGATTATAATTAAAATACAGAGATGGTCATACTAGATATAAAAAGAAAGACCAACCACTTGCTGTATGCATAAACTCAACTGAAATATAAAGACATACATAGGACCAAAATAAAATATGGGAAAAGTTATATTATGCAAAGTGTAAAAAAGCCACAGTGGCTACATTACTATAAGACAATACAGTCTTAGAAAATAAGAAAAAAAGAGGAGAATTTCACAATGAGAAAGATAACAAGTCAATAAGAAGACATAACAATTCTGTATGTCCCCCAACAATGATGTCAAAATATATAAAGTAAAAACTGATGTAACCTAGAACAGACAAATGCACAATTGTAACTACGTATTTTAATAACACTCTTCCCATATTTATACACCACACCTACAGAAAATCACTTAGGTTATAAAAGAACTAAACAACATAATGAACAAATTGAGCATAATTAACATTTATTAACAGTTTATACAATAACAGAATACATGCTCTTTTTCCAGTGAACATAGTATTTTCAACAAAATAGACCATATGAAGTATTATAGAGGAACTCTCAACAATTTTTAAAGATTATTATGCAGTATATGAACTATGATCACATTGACTTTGGGTTGATAATTAACAAAAATTTTTTTTAAAAAAACTCTTGTTTAGAAAGTGAGCAACACATCTCTAAATTACATATGCTTCAAAAGATAAAACAAAAATGCTTAACAACTATTCTGAACTTAACAAAAATTAAACACAACATATTCAAATTTGCTTAGAAAACTACAATGCTAAATAGAAGCAGAAACAGAAAACAACTTTGTTTTATTGCTATTCAACATTATAGTTGAAGGCATCCCCAGTTTAACAAGGTAATGAAAAAATAAAATGCATACAGAATGTAAAGAAAGATGTAAAACTCTCTTAGCTCATAGAAAAAATGACTCTATATGTAGATAGCATTAAAAAAAGCCAATAGAAATAAGAAGTGATTTAGTAAGATTGGGAAATAAAAGGTTACTACTCATATATCAACTGTTTTTAGTATATTTAGAAAAAACACAATTAGAAAGTTAAGTTAAATATAACATTACTTATAAGAGTATAAAATATGAAATAAATATGGTTACATGTAATAATATGTACAAGAACTTTATTTTAAAGTGCTACAAATATTACTAGGTGAAATAAAAGAAGAAATAATAGGAGAGATATATCATGTTCATGGATAGGAAGACTGAATACCATTAATGTTTCCCGAAACTGTTCTACAGATCCATTGTAATCTAGGTCAAAATTTTAAGAAGGTTTACCTACAGAAACGTATAAGCTGATTCTAAAATATATATGTAAGCACAAAGAGTGTGTAATAACTAATATAATTTTGAAAATGAAGAATAAAGTTGGGTGATTTCTTCTTCTTGATTTCAAGTCTTAAAATATGTTGCAGTAATTAAAGCAGTGTTAAATTATCATAAATATAGATATAGATAGGTAAATGCATACTGGTTTTAGAATACAGTCTGGAAACACACATATACACAGTCAATTGATTTGCAAAATGAGCACAGCTAAGTTAATAAGAAAGCAATTTTCAACAAATGGTGCTAAAATAGTAGAAACCAGACTATCTTAATTTTTAATCTATACTTGAGCATACAAATTAACTCAAAATGTGTCATAGACTAAAATTTTTGAATGCTAAACCCCAAAATTATCTGATATTGTAGAATATGTTGGAGTATCTCTTTGCAAACTTGGGGTAGTCAAACATTTAATTTAGTAACATAATGCTGAAACATTAAAAAAACTGATAAAATGGTCTTTGCAAAAATGTAAAGCTTCTATTTTTAAAAAAATAAGGTTAGAGAAATTAAAATGCAATCCACAGGCTAAACATATGTGTTCCTGTGTAAAGAATTCTTAAAACTCACAGATGTGAAAATAAGTAGTGCAATAAAAAATATGTAAAATATTTTAAATAAAAACATTACTAGGATCATGACCAATATACATGCAGTTATGCATCATTTAATAAGGGTGATGTATTCTAAGAAATGTGTTGTGTGGCCATGTCATCATTATGTAAACATCATAGACCATACTTATCCGAAACTAGATGGTATAGCCTATTATACACCTAGGCTATATGGTTCTATTGCTCCTGGGCTACAAACCTGTACAGCATATTACGATACTGAATACTGTAGGCAATGGTAATAGAATGGTAAGTATTTGTGTATCCAAACATATTTAAATATTGAAAAGGCATAGTAACAATGTGGTATTATAATCTTATGGGATCATCATTGTATACAGTCAATCACTGACCAAAATGTTTGGTGACACATGATGGTATAAAAAGATGTAAAACCCCATTATTTATCAGGAAAATGGAAATTAAAATCACAAGACAATATGACTGCTTGCCCACGAGAAAGGGTGGACTAGAATGCCAAGCAACACTACTGGTGGGACTATTAAATGGTACAAACACTTTGGAAATAAAGTTTTAAAATTTCTTATTCAGTTAAACATAGTATCCCAAATTGAAATAACCCAAATACGCATTAAGGAATTGAATGGCAAAACAAATTGTGGTACATCCACTCAATGGCATACTACTCGCAAATTAAAAGGAAAGTAATACTGATACAGATGTAGACTTGGATCATTATCAAAGTCATATTTGGATCCAAAACATTGCATTATCTGCTGCAAAGATTTCCTTTCTCACCACCCATAGCACCATTTATTTCTTACCTTCTATCTCTGATGTATCTTTTGTAATCTCCATCTGTCACTGAAATTTTTCTTGAAGTAGTATCAGCACTTCAATATCAATATCGATATATAAACTGGATCAGTATCAAAGTCATTTTTTGGATCCAAACCACTGTATCATATGCTGCAAAGATTTCTTTTCTCACCACCTATAGCACCATTTATTTT
Organism: Homo sapiens; assembly: GCF_000001405.40. NCBI lineage: Eukaryota > Metazoa > Chordata > Mammalia > Primates > Hominidae > Homo > Homo sapiens. The sequence goes on from NW_009646200.1 coordinate 38,884, forward strand.
TTTTTTATTTTTATTTATTTTTTTTTTTTGAGATGGAGTTTCGCTCTGTCGCCCATGTTGGAGTGCAGTGGCGCGATCTCGACTCACTGCAAGCTCCGCCTCCCGGGTTCACGCCATTCTCCTGCCTCAGCCTCCCGTGTAGCTGGGACTACAGGCGCGTGCCACCATGCCCGGCTAATTTTTGTATTTTTAGTAGAGACGGGGTTTCACCGTGTTAGCCAGGATGGTCTCGATCTCCTGACCTCGTGATCCTCCCGTCTCGGCCTCCCAAAGTGCTGGGATTACAGGCGTGAGCCACCGCGCCCGGCCACCATTTATTTTTTGCCTTCTACTTCTGATGTAGCTCCTGTTATATCCATTTGTCACTGAAATTTTTCTTGAAGTAGTATCAGCTCACCAGGACTGTGACATTTCTGGGATGATTGCCTTTGTCTTTGCTGTTTCTGCCATTTCTTCAGATATATTCATTTCTCCTCTGCTCCGTTCTGTCTTTATCTGCCACGACTGCCATTTCAATTACCAGCACTAACTCTGCTACTTAGAACAATGAAAATCAACATTGTCTGTCTCTGTATGTACCTTCATTCTCAAATTCACTCAACGCTGGCTCCACAGCACCCATAAATTTTTCTTAAATGTTTTGAACAGCTGACTTTATTTCAGTTTATATAATTATGAGGTTATTAATTAAATTATATATACCTATAATTGGTAATTAAATGTACCATGAATCTAAATAGCTGTTGCTTCTTTAAAATGAAGCAGTGGATGATAATATATGCTCTGAATCAAATATTAGTTTTTTTACTTTTAATTTTGTTCCATCACTTATTGGTAGTGAGATGACTGGTAAGACATTTTACCTCTTTAGCCTGTTTTAACATTTGTAAGTTGTTCTTAGCCTCACAAGGTTGTACAAAGATGTTTAAAGCATTTAGCAAAGTTCCTGGAAAACTGTTAATTTTAGATTAAAATATTTCAGTATTATCTTTAATTTCTTTTTCTCTTTCGCCCCTAAAATATAACCACCATTTTCTCTAATTTGAAAAAAGACTAACTCTGTTGCTTTTACCATTTCCTTCATTTAGGTCACCATCATGTTTCCTTTAGATTAACTTGCCTTATGCTAAATTATTTCACAATGCTGCACCTACAATGTTCTTTCTGAGAAGCAAAATCACTAATGCCCCTCAATACAGAAATGCCAGTCAGGCTTTTTGTTAATAATCAATCTACAAGGAATGCATCCAGTTTGTGAAGTGCTTCAGGATGTAACCCATTTTTAACTTTTTCAGTCTCCCATTCTATCCTCACTCCCTACACTTTATCTGCAGCCATATTGAATGAACTCATTCCTTTTCTTATGTTATTTCCTCTGACTGGAAACCTTTAGTGTCTTCTCTTTACCTGGTTGATTCCTAGTAATCCTCACTGTCACTTCATTTGAGATGCACTAACATTGGATACAAGGTCGAAAGTTCCAGTTTTATATTCCTGAATTTTCCACCAAAGGGTTGTAGGGCTTGACATTAATATTATCATTTAGTCAAATGACACCTCCAATAGATTGCATGATTTATGAGAATAGAGACCACATCTAACTTCCAGTGGGTAGCATCTACCATAAGACTTGGTACACAGCATACAGCTAATAGTCAACAAATACAAGTGTGATATATTCTTGTTAACTAAGGATAATTCTAATAAAAAGAATCCCAGAAACCTTTGAAGTTATCACTCCATAAAATTACCTTTTTTGCCAAGTTATTATCATCATGAGATTTTTCCAGGCTCTGTCTTTGCCACTTGCTAGAGATGCACCTATTTCCTTTTAGGACCTCCCATGACTATCTTTGTGTTTTGATTCTATAATCTTTTATCATACTCTGTAACTTATTTTATAGTTAAAATATTAAAGGCAGAAGACCTCTGGACTTAAGTGTGTGAACTTATTAGTCCCAGATCTATTTTTTTTCTATTTAACAGGCAATTAAATTCAGTTTCATATTCAACAGATAGAGGTTGATTAATTGTTGACCCAAAATGAAATTATTCAGTTATTAAATATCAGTAATATTTGTTAAAAGAATATGCAGTCGACCCTTGAAGCTATCAAAAACCAGTCATGTAACCACTGACTCCCCAAAACTTAACAACTAGTTACCTACTGTTAACAAAAAGACTTACTGATAACCTCTCTTTTAACACATATTTTGTGTATGTATTACAAACTGTATTCTTACAGTTGAGTTAGCAAGATAAAAGGAATATCATTAAGAAAATCAGTAGGAAGAGAAAATATATATTTTTATTTATTAAGTGGAAGTGAATCATCATAAAGGTCTTCATCCTCATAATCTTCAGTTTAGTAGGCTGAGGAGGAGGAGAAAGAGAAGGGGTTGGTCTTGGAGCCTCAGGATGGCAGAGACAGAAGAAAATCTATGTATAAGTTGACATGCACAATTCAAACCTGTGTTGTTCAAGGGTTAACTGTAACGTAGGTTCTTCTTTATGAGGTGATATATTCTACTAAGCCAAAGTTATATTTTTTTGTTTGCTTGTTTATTTTGGCTTAAACAACAGACCTTTATTTTCTCACAGTTGAAGAGGTTGGGAAGTACAAGATCAAGGTGTCATATGATGCACTTTCTGGTGTGACTTGCAGATGGTCTCTTTTATGTGACTGCAGAGAGAAAGGAAAAGAAGATCTGCTGGTGTCTCTTCTTATAAGGAAAAATACTAAACCATTAGGTTTGGGCCCCACTCGATCACCTCATTTAAGCCTAATTCCCTCCTTGTAGAATGTATCTCCAAATACAGTCACATTGGGGGTTAAGGCTTTAATACATACATTTTGAAGGAACACAATGCAGTCCACAGCAGAATGGAAGCTGTAAGCAATGGAACAACCTCCCAGGGAAACAGTGGGGATCATTCCTGGGGAAATAAAAGGTCACTGGACTTGTCCAGTTCCTCAATATATTGTAGGCCTCCTCCTGAGCTTTTGGAGATGCGTGGAAGTGAAGGGCACAATAAAAGTCTTAAATTAGAAGAAAATGTGCATAATAGCATATGCACATAAATATATGCATATATTCTTCAGAAACATGTATTGTATAAATCATAATAACATAAAACATTTTGGAGTATTATTTTATAGGCATTCAGTTATATTAGATAACATTAATAAATCCACATTTTGTTGTAAATTATCTTTTTTATTTAAAATGATATGTTCTATTTGTATTTACATATTTAATTCACACAAACAAAACACAGAACATTACTTACCATAGTAGAAATAATATTTTTTTTGTTAATTTTATTATCAAGTATGTTTGAACTCAATAGAAGCCTATTCTGCTTGCTTCTGTAGCCCTAGAATGCATAATATTTAATCATCTAATATAGCTTTTCAGTTAAGCTTTTAAGATTACAGATGTGTTTTCCTTTTATGCAATTACTAATCAACTTTTCCCTCTTCTTCGTTTTGTCTGATTCAAGTTCATTTTAAGTCGTGTGGGCCTTGATTTACTCATTTTTTTAAATTAAACAAAGTTAGCAGAGGAAAAACACAATGAACAAGTTTTATTTTCTTTAATATGTAAAATCTTTTCGTGAGTGGTTGGCAGTTCAAAGAATGCCGTTATACTCTGAAATTTTGAAGCAATTGCTCTTTAAGGCAAAAAAGTGATAATAGACACAATGTCACAATATTTTTAAGTTCATTTAACATATTATTAACTAATATATCTGTTGTCCTATAATCCTAGAACTTTATATACCCACCGTATTTCTCATCTACTTTGTTTTTTCTAAAAGTAAAAATTAATTCATCCATATTTGTCACTCTTTAAAAGTATGTCTCAATATTAAAGAAAATATTCTTCAGAGCAATGTGCTTTTATTTCTGAATTCTTGTGGGGATTTTATTGTACCCTAGAGATTTTTGAGATGCAGATATTTTAATTGCTTGACCACCTGTCTTTCCTAAACTTCGGTTATTCTTTTGCTCTTGGGAATTGTACGTAAATTTCCAGCATCTGTTCTTAATCTGTTTGGTAAATGCAAAGAGAAAGTATTCATTTAATTCCTCAAAGGCTATTCCCAACTCAATAATAACTACTGAAAACTTATGTGATTTCTTTTTAAAGTAATATACATTCTATATGGTTTCAAATTTATTCATATGCAAATTATGTCATTTATTCCATCAAAAATGATCAATCTTCAATGTCTATATAACAATAAGGACTGTGTTTCCAACTATTTGTATTATAAATTTAATGCTGAGGTTTTATATATGATCCAATTGTTTTTCTCCCCTATAATTTCATTTTTTTTTTTTGGTTGGGGATTTAAGGTAAACTATAACTTGATTTAAATTACATTGTTTAAACACTCAAAACTTGTTTGCCTCATGAATATTTGGGTTGGTTTGGTGAACATCTTCATCATATAAAATCTAAACATTTGCATTTCTCCCTATAATTTTCTTTTTTAATTTGTAAGAAATCATGAGGTATAGGTAAAATTATTTTTATTATACCTGTAAGGGAATTAAGGCTAACAATATAAAGACTTACCTCATAGTTGTGTACCTTTCTAGTAATGAGATAGGGATTCAAATCTAATACTGATTTACATCTTAGTTAATAAACCAGAGTAAGCAGTTGATGGATTACATTTCACTTTTTGTTTCCATCTTAATATAAATGTTTAGCTTTATATTCATAAAGAAATATCAAATTATAAAAAGATAATTTGGAAAATAATACTGAACAATTTCATGGAATATAATGCCCTATGTCTCCATATTCTCATAATATTCCTCAAGATAAACCCCAGTGTTTAGTGTATTGCTTCTAATAATAAATCCTTTTTTAATTATGTAAATGTTTCTGAGTTATTACCCTACCTGTTATAGTAAATTTGTGTATATATTACATAAATACAATAATATATTATATATAATATATAATTATATATTAAATATATTGTATTTACATATTATATATGTAAACAATATTATGTATATATTATATATTGTCTATATACTATATATACAATGTATACATTACAGAGACAATAATATATTTATATATAATATACACACATTTACCATATCAACTTTTATAGTAAAATTATGTATTATAATTGTATATGTTTATATATAATTTGTAATATATAACATATAAGTTTATATATAAAATTTTTAATATATATATAATACATAATTTGTTACATGATTTAACTAAAAGACAAATAACAGTAATATAGCTGCAGCAACTAGTGGTTGTGGGTCAATAGATACAGCCAGTTTGTAACTCCAACTTACCTCTCTTATCAACCTGACTAGGGGCAAAGAGTAATAGTACATAGGGCTCTAAGTTTACCCTTTAAAATTTAATGTAGTATAAAACTTATTTTTTAAAATATAGTATGGTTTTCTATTACTAACATCTAAAACAAGCCCATGACAAATTATTAGAAAGAAAATGCAAAGAGCTTTTCAGTAAGGGGAACAGTTAAAAAAATTTAGAGATGTTTATATTTTTCTTTATTTGAATGATATTAAACAGGAATCAACTTAAAAAGGAATGAAAGGAGATATATTTTAAGACATTAGGAAAGTTTTCACAAAACCTTAAAACTGAAAAAATGAGCTATACACTTGGGTATAATTGTTATTGCAAAAATATTAATTATAAATTTAAATTAATTCCAATCAAAACTACAATACATCTTTGATATGGGTCGACTGTGTCCCCACCCAAATCTCATCTTGAATTCCCATGTGTTATGGGAGGGAGCCAGTGGGAGGTAACTGAATCATGAGAGCAGATCTTTCCCGTGCTGTTCTCGTGATAGTGAATAAGTCTCACTAGACCTGATAGTTTTAAAAAATGACAGTCTCCCTGCACAAGCTCTCTTCTCTTGTCTGCAATCATGTGAGATGTGCCTTTCACTTTCTGCCATGATTGTGAGGCCTCCCCAGACATGTGGAACTGTAAGTGCATTAGATCTCCTGCTTTTGTAAAATGCCCAGTCTTGGGTGTGTATTTATCAGCAGCTTAAAAACAGACTAATACAGTAAATTGGTACCAGTAGAGTGGGGTGCTGCTTAAAAGATACCTGACAATGTGGAAGTGACTTTGGAACTGGGAAACAGGCTGGGGTTGGAACAGTTTGTAGGGTTCAGAAGAAGACAGGAAAATGTGGGAAAATTTGAAACTTCCTAAAGAGTAGTTGAATGGCTTTGCACAAAATGCTGATAGAAATATGCACAATAAAGTCCTGGCTGAGGTAGTCTGAGATGGAAATGAGGAAATTGTTGGGAACTGTAGCAAAGGTAACTCTTGCTATGTTTTAGCAAAGAGACTGGTGGCATTTTGCCTCTGCCCTAGAGATTTGTGGAACTTTGAACTTGAGGGAGATGATTCAGGGTATCTGGTGGAAGAAATTTCTAAGAAGCAAAGTATTTAAGAGGTGACTTGGGTGCTGTTAAAGGCATTCAGTTTTATAAGGGAAGCAGAGCATAAATGTTCAGAAAATTTGCAGCCTGACAACGAGATAGAAAAGAAAATCCCATTTTCTAAGGAGAAATTCAAGCGGGCTGCAGAAATTTGCAAAAGTAACGAGGAGCCAAATGTTAATCCCCAAGACAATGGAAAAAAATGTCTCCAGCGGATGTCAGAGACCTTTGCGGCAGCCCCTCCCATCACAGGCCTGGAGACCTAGGAAGAAAAAATGGTTTCATGGGTGAGGCCCAGAGTCCCCATGCTGTGTGCAGCCTAGGGACTTGGTGTCCTGTGTCCTAGCCTCTCTAACCATGGCTGAAAAAGGCCAATGCAGAGCTCAGGCCATGGATTCAGAGGGTGCAAGCCCAAAGCCTTGGCATCTTCCATGTGGTGTTGAGCCTGTGAATGCACAGAAGTCAAGAATTGGGGTTTAGGAACCTTCACCTAGATTTCAGAGGATGTATGGAAATGCCTGGATGTCCAGGCAGTTTGCTGCAGGTTCATGGAGAACCTCTGCTAGGTCGGTGTGGAAAGGAAATGTGGGACCGGAGCTCCCATACAGAGTTGCTACTTGGGCACCACCTAGTAGAGCTTTTAGAAGAGGACGACCATCCTCCAGACCCCAGAATGGTAGATCTACTGACAACTTGCACTGTGCACCTGGAAAAGCCACAGTCACTCAGTGCCAGCCTGTACTGGAGGGTGGCTGTACTCCAAAAAGCCACAGGTGTCTATAGGTTTTGAAACATGCACTATGGTTTAAATCATTATACTATCATATGAAATTGTCTCATGACCCTAAAAATATGCCATCTTTGACCTGTTCAACACAATCCACTTCTCATGAATTACAAGAATAGTTTATATTTTTTACTGACTCTATAGTTTTGCTTTATTTAGAATGTCATATAATTGTAATAATACAGTATGGACCCTTTTCAGAATGTCTCCTTTCACTTATAAATATGCACTTAAGTTTCATTCATATGCTCTTGTGGATTGATTGCACATTTTTTATTGTTGAATAATATTCCTTGTATGGTTTTACACAAATATGCTTATCAGTTCATCTGTTGAGGAGCACCATTGTTATGTCCATTTATTGGTAATTACAAATAAAGGTGCTGTATACATTCTTGTGCAGGTTTTTGTGTGGATAAAGATTTTCAAAAGAACTGGGTAAATATCTAGAAATGTGAATGCTGGGACTTTGTAGCTTGGTAAGAATCTGCCAAATGTCCCACTAGAAATGAATGACATTTCCTGTTTTTCTAAGTTCTCAAAAACATTTGGAATTATCGGTTATTAGATTTTAGTCATTCTAACAGGTATATAGTATTATCTCACTGATTTAACTTGCAATTTCCTAATGACAAATGATATTGATAATCTTTCTGTATACTTCTTTGCTGTTTTCTGTGTAGTCTTTGGTAAGATTCCTTTTGTAATTTTTTATTTTATTTTACTTAGCTTTTATTTTTAGTTCAGGGCATATGTTCAGGTTTGTTATAGGTACACTGTAAACAAATGGATTCAAATGTTTTCTGTGCTTAGGGAGTTGATGTAGACATAGTACATTATAATGTAAGAAAAATTATGAAAGTGAACTAATAAATAGGTCTCTAAGAATGAAGATAAGAAAAGTCATGTAGCAGGTTTTTATCTATGGTTTCAAAAAGATGTATTTATATTGCTGTATTGCTGTATTCTGAACTGTATTAACTTTCCCTATTTTGATTCTATTTTTGAACCAACATTTAAAGTTAAACCTGAGTTCTTGTTTAGAAAATTGTACTAATATTACATTTATATTACTAATATCTACAAATATTACATACTTCAATGATAAATATAATTTCATCTTTTCTTTTTTTAACTTCTATTTTAAATTCAGGGGTTCATGTGCAGTTTTGTTACATAGGTAAACTTGTGTCATGGGGGCTTATTGTATAGATTATTTAATCACCCAGCTATTAGGCCTAGTTCTCATTATTTATTATTCCTGATCCTCTCCCTCCTCACACCCTCCACCTTCTGGTTGGCCCCAGTGTCAGTTGTTCCCCTCTATGTGTTCGTGTATTCTCTTCATTTAGTTTTCACTTCTAAGTGGGACCATGTGGTATATGATTTTCTGTTCCTGCATTAGTTTGCTTAGGATAATGGCTTCCAGCTGCATCCATGTTGCTGCAAAGGATTTGCTTTTATTCTGTCTTATGGCTGTGTAGTATTCCATGGTGTATATGTGCCACATTTTATTTATCCAATCCATCACTGATAAGCACCTAAGTTGATTCTATATATAGGCTATTGTGAATAGTGCTGCGATGCCCATGTACATGCATATGTCATTGTTCTTCCAAAGTAGCTCAAGAACCATTTATTGAATATGGAGTCCTTTCTCCATTGCTTATTTTTGTCAGCTTTGTCAAAGATCAGATAGTTGTAGGTGTGCAATCTTCTTTCTAGGCTCTCTGTTCTGTTTCGTTGTTTTATGTTTCTGTTTTTATACCAGTACTATGCTATTTTGGTTACTGTAGCCCTGTACTATAGTTTGAAGGCAGTTTTGTTTTTTGTTTTTTTCTTAGAATTGCCTTGGCCATTCTGGCTCTTTTTTGATTCCATATGAAATTTAATATATTTTTTTCTAGTTCTGTGAAGAATGTTATTGTTAGTTTGATAGGAATAGCATTGAATCAATACATTGCTTTGGGCAGTATTGCCATTTAAATAATATTGATCCTTTTTTTTCCATGAGCATGGAATATGATTCCATTTTTTGTGTCATCTCTGAATTCTTTGAGCAGTGATTTGTTGTTCTCTTTGTGGAGAATTTTCACCTCCTTTGCTGTATTCTTAGGTATTTTATTCTTTTTTTAGCAATTGTGAATGAGATTGCATTCCTGGTTTGGCTCTTGGCTTGACTGTTGTTGGTCTGTAGGAATTCTAATGATTTTTGCACATTGATTTTGTATCCTGAGACTTTGTTGAAGTTGTTCATCAGCTCAAGGAGCTTTTGGGCCAAGACTATAGGCTTTTCTAGATACAGTATCATGTCTTCTGCAAACAGTAGCAGTTTTACTTATTCTCTTCCCATGTGGATGCCCTTTATATCTTTCTCTTGCCTGATTGCCCTGGGCAGAACTTCCAATACTACATTGAATAGGAGTGGTGAGAGGGAATTCTTGTCTTGAGCCAGTTTTCAAGGGGAATGCTTTCAGCTTTTATCCATTCAGTATGATGTTGGCTATGGGTTTGTCATAGATGGCTCTTATTATTTGAGGTATGTTCCTTCAATAGCTAGTTTGTGGATAGTTTTTAACAGGAAGTGGTGTTGAATTTTATCAAAAGCATTTTCTGCATCAATTGAAATAATTGTTTGGTTTTTGTCTTCAGTTCTGTTTATGTGATGAATCACAATTACTGATTTACGTATGTTGAACCAAGCATGCATCTCAGGGATAGTCTACTGGATCATGGTGGATAGGCTTTTGAATATGTTGCTGGATTTGGTTTGCCAGTATTTTGTTGAGGAGTTTTGAATCTATGTTCATCAAGGATATTGGCCTGAACTTTTCTTTTTTGTTGTGTCTTTGCCAGGTATTGGTATCAGTATGATGTTGGCCTCATAGGATGAGTTAAGCAGGAGTCCCTGTTTGTCTTTTTTTTTTTTTTTTTTTTGGAATAGTTTCAGTAGGAATGGTGCCAGCTTTTTTTTTTTTAACATCTGATAGGATTCATTTGTTAATTTTGTTAATTTTACTGCTCCTGAACTTTGGTTGGTTGGTAGGCTATTTATTACTGATTCAAGTTCAGAGCTCATAATTGGTCTGTTCAGAGATTCACTTTCTTCCTGGCTCAGTCTTGGGAGGATGTATGTGTCTAGGAATTTATCCATTTCTTCTGGATTTTCTAGTTTATATGTATAGAGGTGTTCATAATATTCTCTTATGGTTATTTATATTTTTGTGGGTCAGTGATAATCTTTTAAATTAGATTTTTTTCCTGTCATGCTGCTGTGTTTTAAGAATTTTTTGTGCATTTTGGACACAAGTTATTTACTAGATACTTGCTTTTCAAATAACTTTTTAAACACCATGACTTTTTTTTTTTTTAAAAAATAATTTCAATTTATATTTTAGATTTATGTACAGGTTTGTTACATAGGTATATTATGTGACACTATGGTTTGGCATGTGAATGATTCCATCACCCAGGTATTGAGCATAGTACTCAATAGGTAGTTTTTTAACCCATTTCCCACTCCTCCTCTCCCACCTGTAGTAGTCTCCAGTGTCTATTTTTTCCATCTTTCAGTACATATGTACCCAATTTTTAGCCCCCATTTATAAGTGCTAATATGCAATACATGCTTTTTAATTTCTATATTAATTTGCTTAGAATAATGGAAAACAGCTGCAAACATGTTGCTGCAAAGGACATGATTTCATTCATTTTTATGAATGGATAGCATTTCATGGTGTACATGCACCACATTTTCTTTATTCACTCTTCCACTGATGAGCATCTAGCTTGATTCCATATTTTGCTATAGTGAATAGTGCTGCAGTGAACATGTAAGTGCATCTGTCTTTTTGGTAGACCTATTCATTTTCCTTTGTGTATATACCCAGTGATGGGATTCTTGAGTCCAATGGTGGGTTCCAGGTTCTTTGAAAAATCTCCAAACTGCTTTCAAAGTGGCTGACCTAATCTACATTCCCACCTATAGGTTTATGCAAGTGTTCCCTCTTCTCCACAGCCTCACTAATATGTGTTTTTTTTTAATTTTTAAAATAATAGTCATTCTGACTGGTGTGAGATGATATTTCATTGTGGTATTCATTTGCTTTTCTCTGAGATTTGTGATATAGAGCATTTTTTCATGTTTTTTGGCCACCTGTATATCTTCTTTTGAGAAATATCTGCTGAATTGTTTTGACCACTTTTTAAAAACGTTATTTTTCTGCTTGTCGAATTGTGTAACTTCTTATACATTCTGGATATTAGACTTTTGTTGGATGCATAGTTTGTAAATATTTTCTCCCTCTCTGCAGGTTGCCTGTTTACTCTGTTGATAGTTTCTGTTGTTGTGCAGAAGCTCTTTAATTTAATTAGGTCCCGTTTGCAACTTTTTTTTTGTTGTTGTTGCAATTAATTTTGAGGTCTTAACGATAAATTCTTTACCAAGGCCTATGTCTATCATGGTATTTGTTACATTTTCTTCTAAAATTCTTATAGTTTAAGGTCTTACATCTAAATCTTTAATCTCTCTTGAGTTAATTTGATTATAGAGGGAAAGACAATCATCCAGTTTCATTCTTCTGCATATGATTAGAAAGCTATCCCAGCACCATTTACTGAATAGGGAATCATTTTCCCATTCCTTACTTTTGTGGACTTTGTCAAAGATCAGATGGCTGTATGTATGTGGTTTTATTTCTGAGTTCTCTATTGTGTTCTATGTGTCTGTTTTTGTACCATACCATGCTGTTTGGGTTTCTGTAGCCTTATAATATAGTTTGAAACAGAATAATATGAGGCCTCTGGCTTTGTTCTTTTTGCTTAAGAGAGTTTTCCTTGTTGGGCTCTGTTTTAATTCTATATGAATTTTGGGATAATTTTTTCCTTATTCTGTGAAAAGTGACATTGGTAGTTTGATAGGAAATATCATTGAAACTGTATATTGTTTTGGGCAATAGGGTCATTTTAACAGTATTGATTTTTTCAATCCATGCATATAGTATGATTTGCTATTTGTTTATCTATGATTTATTTCAGCAACATATTGTAATTCTCCTTGTACAGATCTTTCACTTCTTGGTTAGATGTATTCTGAGGTATTTTATTTTATTTTTTGGTGGCTATTGTAAATGGGTTGCATTCTGGATTTGACTCCCAGCTTAAACATTATTGGTGTATAGAAATGCTACTAATTTCTTACATTGACTTTTTATACTAAAACTTTACCGAAGTCATTTATCAGTTCTAAGAGGCTTTGGCAGAGTCTTTAGGGTTTTCTAGGTAAAGAATCCTATCTTTAGTGAACAGAGATAAATTGTATTCTCATTTTCGTATTTGGGTGCCTTCATTTCTTTCTCTTGCATGATTTGTCTAGCTAGGACTTCCAGTACAATGTTGAATTGAAGGGTGAGGGTGGGCATTCTTGTCTTGTTCCTCTTCTTAAGGTGAGTACCTCCAGCTTTTCTCTGTTCAGTCTGAGGTTGGCTGTGGGTTTGTCATAGATAGCTCTTATTATTTTACTACATGTTCCTTTCATGTCTAGCTTGTTGAGGATTTTTATCATGAAGGGATGTTTAATCTTATAAATTTTTTTCTATGTCTATTGAGATGATCATATGGTTCTTGTTTTTAATTTTGTTAATGTTGTGAATCACATTTATTGATTCATTCAACCATCCTCTCATCCAGGAATGAAGACTACTTAATTGTGGCAAATTAACTTTTTATGTGCTGTTGAATTCAGTGTGCTAGTATTTTGTTGAAGATTTTTGTGTCTATATTTGTCAGGAATATTGGCCTGTAGGTTTTCTTTTTTTGTGATGTCTTTCCCATGTATTAGTATCAGGGTGATACTGGCTTCATAAAATAAAGTAGAAAGGAGTCTTTTCTTTATTATTTTTTGAAATAGTTTCAGTAGAATTGGTACAAGCTATTTGTATATCTGGATGAATTTGTCTGTGAATCCATCCGGTCCAGAATTTTGGGGGGTTTGTAGGTTTTTATTACTGATCAATTTCAGAATTTGATATTAATCGGTTCAGGGTTTCAATTTCTTCCTGATACAGTCTTGAGAGGTTTAGTGTTTCCTGGAATGTAACCATTGCCTCTAGATGTTCTAGCTTGGTTGCATAGAGGTGTTCATAACAGTCTGTGAGTATATATTCTGTGTTTCTGTGGAATCAGTTATAATGTTACTTTTTTTTCCGATGATACTTATTGAGATTGTCTCTTTTTTTTCCTGTGTTAATACAGATAGTAGTCTATTAGTTTTGTTTATCCTTTCAAACAAAAAGTTTTGGTTTCATTGAGTCTTTGTATGGATTTTTAGATCTCAGTTTTATTCAGTTCCACTCTGATTTTATTTATTTCCCTTCTTCTTGTAACTTTGAATTTAGTTTATTCTTGCTTTTCTAGTTCCTCTAGGTGTAATATGAAATCATAAATTTTAGATTTTTCTAACTTTTTGAAGTAGGTGTTTGGTGCTAGAAATTTGTTTAACACTATTTTTGCTGCATCCCAGGGATTTTGGTATGTCGTGTCTCTGTTTTCATTTTTTTCAAAGAATTTTTTTAAATTTCTGTCTTGATTTCTTTGTTTACTAAAAGTCATTCAGGAGCAAGAATTTCCATGTAATTGTGTGGTTTTAAGAGATTCTTTGTGTTGATTTCTATTTTTATTCTACTGTGATCCAAGAGTGTGGCTGGTATGATTTCAAGTTTTTTGAATTTATTGTGACTTGGTTTATGGCTGAACATGTGGTTGAGCTTAGAGTATATCCTGTGTGCATACAAGAAGAATATATATTCTGTGGTTGATGGTAAAGTATTCTGTAAATGTTTATTAGTTCCCATTGGTTAAGTGTAGAATTTCAGTCCAAAATTTCTATGTTAGTTTTTTGCCTTCATTATCTGTCTAATGCTGTCAGTAGGGTGTTGAAGTCCTCCACTATTATTTTGTGGCTGTCTAAAGTTTTTGTTTTTGTTTTTACATCCATAAAAACCTGTTTTATGAATCTGTGTGCTCCAATGTTGGGTGCATATATATTTAGGATAGTTGTCCTCTTGTTAAATTGAACCCTTTATCATTATATAATGCCATTCTTTGTCTTTTTTTCTACTATCATTGGTTTAAAATCTAGTTTAAAAATAGTGACTACTTTTTTTTTTTGTATGTGTCTTCCATTTGCATGATAGATCTTTCTCTATTATTTTACTTTGAGCCTATGGGTGTTGTTGCATGTGAGATGAATCTTTTGATGAGAGAAGAGGAATGGGTCCTTTTTTTAAACAACTTAGCTTGCTACACTGTGCCTTCTAAGTGAGGTTTAGACCATTTATGTTCAAGGATAGTATTGACATGTGTGGTTATTGTGAAGTTTTTAGCTCTTTTCTTTGTATTTTATATTGTGTGCTTGGTTCACAGGGTCTGTGAACTATGTACTTAAGTGAGGTGTGTGTGTGTGTGTGTGTGTGTGTGATCAAGTATTGTTCTTTAACATGTTTAGAACTCTCTCGTAAGGCTAATCTCATGGTAATGAATTCCCTTAGTGCTTGCTTCTCTGGAAAATATTTTCTTTCTTCTTCACTTTTGAAGCTTAGTTTGGCAGGATATGAAATTCTTGGTTGGAATTCCTTTCCTTTAATAATGGTGAAAATAAGTCCCCAGTCTCTCTTGGATTGTAAGATTTCTGCTGAGAAATCTGCTGTTAACTTGATGAGGTTCCCTTTGTATGTGATCTGACTTTTTTCTCCAACTGCTTTAAGATTTTTTTTTCTTTAGTATTGACCTTGGACAGTCTGGTGACTACATGCCTTAGTAAAATTCATTTTGCATAGTATCTTGCTGGTGTTCTCTGGATTTCCTGTTTCTGAATGTCTATCTGACAAGGAATATTAGAAAATTTATCTTAAATTATTCCCTCAAATATGTTTTTCAGGTTCTTTTCTTTTCTCCTTCTCTCTCATGAAAGCCAACAACTCATAATGTTTGGTTGTTTTATGTAATTCCATGTTTCTTGAAGACTTCTTTCATTTTTAGAAAGTTATTATTTTTTATTTAATAAAGATCAGTATTTTTATTTTGTTAACTATCATTGTTTTTTGTTAACTATCTTTTAAAAAGCAGATCAATTTCAATTTTAAGAAAGTATAAACTTTCTTTTTTCATAGATTGTACATTTGAAGTTTTTATCTACAAACTCATCATCAAGCACAAGGTCATGTAGACTTTCTACTGCATTTCCAGAACTTATATTATTTTGTGTTTTACATTTAGGTCTACATTCTATTTTGTGCTGTTTTTTGTGAAATATATAAAGTTTGTTTCTCGGTTCATTTTTGCATATGGATATCCAATTATTGTACAACTGTTTATTGAAAACACTATTTTTCCCCTTTGAACTGCCTTTGCTCCTTTTTCAAATATTAGTTGACTATATCTGTATGGGTCTATTCCTGGGCTTTCGATTCTGTTACATTGGTCAATATGATCATTCTTTCACCAAAACCAAGCTGTCTTTATTACGGTAGCTTTGTAATAGTTTTGAAGTCATGCATTGTGAGTCTTCCAAAATTGTAATTCCAGGCTGGAGTGCAGTGGCATGATCATACCTCACTGTAACTTTAAACTCCTGAGTGCAAGCAATTCTCCCACTTCAGCCTCATGAGTAGCTGGGACCACATGAGTGCACCACCAAACCTTGCCAATTAAAAAAAAAAAACATATATAAAGAGGTGGGGACTCACTATGGTGCTTAACCAGGTATCAAACTAGTGGCCTGAAGTGATTCACCTGCCTCAGCCTCCCCAAGTGCTTTTACTATTCTTGTTGATGCCTTTTCATGTAAACTTTATTATTGGTTTGCCAATATGCAAAAAAACAACTCATTGGAATTCTGATTAGAATTGCATTGGATTTATAGATCAAGTTGAAAAAATGGACATCTTAGCAATGTTGAGTGTTTCTGTCAATAAACATGAACTATGTCTTTATTTATATCTTAACTGATTTTTTATCAGAGGTTTATAGGTTTCCTCATATAGCCCTTGGATTTATCTAGCTAGATCTATAAATAAACATTTATTTTTATTTGATGCTTTTTTCTAATATATGCCTTCAGTGGTGTGACTATCATTCTGAGCACTGATGTCCATAATTCCTCAAACTTTATAAAACCATATTCTCATTTTCATTTAATTTAAAATATTTTTAATTTGTTATTGAGACATTAATTAACACAAGAACTATTTAGAAGTTTGTGATTTAATCTGTAAAAATTTGAAGTTTTCTACCTCTTCTTCTTTCATCATTTTGTAGTCTAACTCCATGTAAGTCTAAGAATATATTTTGTCTAATTTTTTAATTTGTTAAGAAGTTCTGGTGTCCTTGATTTTTGAAAATTATCAGTTATTATTACTGTATATATTTACTATTTTTATCTCTTTATGCATATATTCTAGGTTTTACAGGTGTCTCAGAATCCTTGGATATTGTTATATTTTTTTTCTTTTTTTTCTTGCATTTCAGTTTTGTGAGTCTATTGATATAATGTCAAGATTTTTGATTTTTTAAAACTATATCCACTCTACTCATGAATATGTCAAATAAATTTTTCATTTCTGTTAGAGTGTATTTTTTATTTCTAGCATTTCCTTTGGATTTTTATAAGTTTATCTTTTTGCTTACATTGCCTATTTTTTTATGTATGCTATTTAATTTTTATATTAGGACCCTTAGCAAAATAATTATAGTTATTTTAAGTTACCATTCTGATAATCCCAAAATATTTGCCATATCTGAGATTAATCCTAATGATTTCTTGTCTCTTCAGATTTTATATTTTGCCTTTTAGTATGCCTTGTAATTTTTTGTTCATAGCCACACTTAATATATTGAGTAAAATAATCTGAGTTCAAGAAAGTGTGGTGGTTCTTCCCAAGACTGTATCACTGGACTAATGCACTTTCAATCTCATTAACACTTAGCCCCTACCAATTTGTCAATCACAGTTTAAGAGCTTCTATTATTACTGCCCCAGCAATGGAATTGTACTCCTAGGATTCTGCTTCTGGTAAGGTGTGAATCTTCATATTTTTTTGACTTTCCGATTTTCAAAGTGGCAGCATGTCCTCAATACTTCTGTGATCTAAGAAAAGTTGTGGGTTTTCAGTTTGTCCAGATATTTCTTATTTTGAAGATAGGGGTGATGACTTCTGTGATGGTTAATACTAAGTGCCAACTTGATTGGATTGAAGGATGCACTATTGATCCTGGGTATGTCTTTGAGGGTGTTGCCAAAGGAGATTAACATTTGAGTCAGTGGACTGGGGAAGGCAGACCCACCCTTAATAGGGTGGGCACCATCTAATAAGCTGCCAGCAAATATAAAGCAGGCAGAAAAACATGAAGCGATGAGATGGGCCTAACCTCCCAACCTACATCTTTCTCTCATGCTAGATGCTTCCTTCCCTCAAACATCGGACTGCAAGTTCTTCAGTTTTGGGACTCGGAGTGGCTCTCCTTGCACCTCAGCTTGCAGACAGCCTATTGTAGAACCTTGTGATTGTGTAAGCTAATACTTAATAAATTCCCATGTATATGTGTGTGTATATATATATGTACATCCCATGTATGTTATATATATAAATATATATATAAATATATATATATTTATATATATAACAGGATGTATATATCATGTTAGTTCTGTTTCTCTAAGAGAACTCTGACTAATTCAACTTCCAAGCCCTTTATATCTTAGACCAGAAATGTAAGTCCTCTTTTTTTGCTTTGTTTTGTTTTAACGTGTGGTTTTAAATTACTCTCTGGGGTCCCTTGCTTTAATCCTGAAGAATTTTCTCTAGTGTTTCTTGTAAGGAGTCTGATAACAATTAGTTCTCTCAGTTTTTGTTCAGTTGAAAATGTTTTTATTTTGCCTTCCTTTTTGAAAGATTGTTTTTCCAGATATGTGTTTCTTGGGTGACAGGTTTTTATTCATTCAGCCGTTTGAATATGTTCTCCTACTGACTTCTGTCTTCCTATTTTTTTAAATAAGAAGTTAACTGTTTATCTTCATGGAGTTTTTTTTGTACATGATTGGCTGTTTCTCTTTTGTTGCTTTTGAGAGTTTCTCTATTCTTTGACTTTTAGCATTTTTACTGTATGCTATGTCTGTGAGAATTTTTGTGTTTATCCTACTTGGATTCTGTCCAGTTACTTGAATGTGTGTAAGTGTTTCAATGAATTTCAGAAATTGAAAAACATTATTTATTTGAATTCTTTTTTGCATCCTTTCTCTTCTTCCACTACTGTCTTTATGCATATTTTGGTATACCTAATGGTATTTGTATTAATCAATGTTTTCCAGAGAGAAAGAGAACCAATTGTGTGCGTGTGTGTGTGTGTGTAAATTGGCCTCGCACAGCAGGTAAGTCTCAAATCTGAAGGGCAGGATGGTAACCCAGGAGAGTTGATATTATAGTCTCAAGCCTGAAAGCAGCTTGGAGGCAGAATTCCTTTTCCTTAGGGGACTTTAGTCTTTTGCTCATAGAGCTTTCAAATGATTGATAAAGTTCACCAACATTATGGAGGGTAATCTGCTTTACTCGGAGTTTACTGATTTAAGTGTTAACAAATCTAAAACACATTCATGGCAAAGTCTACAACGGTGTTTGATCAGTGTCTGGGTACCACACCCTATCCAAATTGACATGAATTTACCCCATCACAAAATCCCACATTTCTCTAAGATTATTTTCTTTATTTCTCTCTCTCTCTCTCTCTCTCTCTCTCTCTCTCTTTCTTTCTCTCTCTCTTTTTCTCTCTCTCTAACCCACTTTTTGGACTGTATAATCACTATCAATCTATCTTCAAGTTTACTAATTTTATGTTCTGCCGTTCAAATCTGCTTTTCGTCTTGCTAGTGAAATTTCTTTTAAGTTATTATAGTTTCCTGTTCTTTTTCTTTCTTTTTTTCTATAGAGACAAGATCTTGCTATGTTTCCTAGGCTGGTCTCAAACTCCTGGCCTCAAGCAATCCTCCTGCCTCAGCCTTCTAATATGTTGGGATTAGCAATGTATGTCATCATGCGTGGCCAGTTATTGTAGTTTTCAATTCAAAAACTTATGTACAGTTTATTTTATAATTTCTCTTTATTGGTATTCTCTAATTTATGTAACACTGTCATTATAACTGTCTTTACTTCTTTGATCATGTTTTGTTGTTGTTGTTTTTCCTTAAGTGTATTTAAAATAGCTACTTTGAAATTTGAATTTGACATCTGGTCTCTTTCACTAGCTCTTTATTTTGCCTATTTGCATAACATATGTATATGTGTATGAATCACACTTCTATAATTTATTTTTGCATTTTAATACTTTTTACTGAAAACTGGAAATATTAGATATATTGTAGCCACTCAAATAACAACTATTCATCCCTCTAGTGCCTCTTACTGTTGTTTGCTTACTTATTTAATGACTGGCTGTACTATTTTAGTGAAACATATTACCTCCACAGGGTGAAGTCTTGGCATTGCTTCTTAGACTGTGCAGCCTTGGTAAACACAAAGTCACACTTGGATGAAAGTGGTTTAATAAGGCTAATTTTGATTTTCTCTTTCCCTGAACATGTCTAACTGTTAGGGTCCACTAATTTTTAGCTAATTCCTCTATTGTTTTCAAGATGGTCCTATGGTATAAATTGACCCACAGTTTAATTCAATTAAATCCAGAGTCCTTTGTGAGGATAGCTTTTGAGGTAAATGTTTGAGATTTTTTGTCTCACTTCAGATGGAGCCATCTCAGCTTTGTATTTTCTTATTTCTCTCTGGCAAACAAGCTGGCTAATTGTTCAGGCCTTATTTCCCATGAAGCATCAGTCTTTACTAATTTGCTTACTAACGAGAGCTCCATTGTTTTTTAATGTAACCCTTCAACTTGAACTTCTCAATACTCTGTTTCAAATAGAGGCATTTCCTTTGGGTAAAGCTTCAGAGTTCTCTGATTTGTGGTCTGCCTCTTCCCATGGCAAATAATCTGATGTCCAGCTCTGGAGCTGATGGGCGAGACAGTAGGATGCTTCTCTCTAGGTGACACCCTTTAGGAGCAGAGTGGTAGGTCAAACTGTTCTTCCTTCATGCTTCCCCTCCATAATATTTCTGCCTTACAAATAAATTGGGGTAAATATTATGATGCCCAATATTCTCACTATACTGTACTTGAGGTTGATCCGTGCCTTTTGAGTTGGGCTGGAAAGAAGAAAGAAGCCCCCAATCTTTTGGTTATACTCCTCTAGAATTTAACTTTTGCAATGCGAAGCTATGGAGAATAGAAAACTCTGGTGGTCTTTCCCTCCCGAGAAGGTACGATATCTCTAGAATTAGAGCTTGAAGAAGGGAGCTCTGTGTTTTTTACTGTGCATGCCTGGAATTTCCATCTTGCCGAAGTGGAAGGGAAGATAAAGGGATATGCTCACATTTTAAATTCCATAGATTCACTGTTTTTACCAAGTTCAAGTATGTTTTCTTGAATATCTCATTTGTTTCATTTCCTTTGAATAATTTCAGAAGAGTTTTTTTCAATGATTTTTACCAGTAATGCTTGTTTCACTGAAAAACTTGTCCATGGACCTTCTGATTGTGCCATTTCAGAAGTAAATGTCTATATTCATATTATACTTTAAATGTACTTATTTTTCTGCCAGTTAGTATTCTCATTTAAGTCACCATACTCCATAGGACATTTAAAAATTATTCTTACTGCATCTTCATGCACCACCTTTTCTCCTTCAATCTAATTTGTAGATAATATTTAAAATGTGCTAATGTGGAGCAACAGGAATTCTAATTCATTATTGGTGTGTCAGCAAAACAGTACAACTACTTTACAAGACACTTTAGCAGTTTCTTATCAAATTAAACATGTTTTTACCAAATGATTCAGCATTAGCACTCATTGGTATTTATCCAAATGAGTTGAAAACTTATTTTCCACACAAAATAAGTTTGGATAATAATGGATATTTGGATATTTATGGCAGCTTTTTTCATACCTGCTAAAATGTGGAAGGAACCAAGATGTCTTCCAGTAAATGAATAAACTACTTAATATTTTTCTGCAGTAAAAAGGAATGAGCTCTCAAGCCGTGAAAAGAGGTAGAGAGATCTTAAATGTATATTTCTAAATGAAAGAAGCCAATCTAAAAAGGCTATATGCAGTATGATTCCAACTATATGACATTCTGAAAAAGGTTAAACTATGGAGACATTAGAAAGATTATTTACTGCAAACACTTGGGGCAGGGAGAGATGAATGGTGTATCTCAGAGGTCTTTTACTCTATATGATACTATAATGATAGATGCATACTTGTCATTATACATTTGTACAAATTTATAGAAGGTACAACCCCAAGAGTGAACCCTAATGAAAACTAGGAACCTTGGTTTATTATTTTGGGTCAGTGTAGGTTCATCAGTACTAACAAATGCACCGCTGAGGGGATGATGATGATGATAGGAGAGAATATGCATGTGTAGAGGCAGGGAATATTTGGGAAATCTCTATACCAACTGTTTAATTTTTCTGTAAACCAAAAATGGCTCTAAAAAGTAAACTCTATTATAAAATCAATCTTTATCTGTTTTATTGCATCAAAAGTCACATATAAATTTATCTTCAAGGATTTAAGATGCAATAATAAACTCTGTGCTATAAAGTATCTGAAAAAATGTATTAGCTTTCAAATCACTTTACTCACCTATTTAAAGATAAGCTGTTCAATAATCCTGATATTTTTCTTGAGATAAGACAAAATCTCCTAACAGGGCATGCGAGACCATTAATAAGCAGATTTCTGTATATTTGTGACAACTTATGTTGCACCATATTGACATCCTTTTATTCTCTCTATTGTGTTGTTATCACATTGGCTTGGGATTCTTGTTACATGATGTGTTTTGACTTAGAAAACTTCTACAAAAGCATGCTTGCCAACTCATTCTAACTTTTCCATTTCACAGCTTAGGCATCTAGTGTAAATGCTCATCTCATGTGATCTGAGAGCACTGTACTTTCCTTATATTACATAGTATGAATTTGGGGACTTAACTAGCTACAGAAAATGAGTTCTGTAAGAGTACAGTTGAGATCTTTCTTCTTATGACTGCAGAACTAACAAACAGCCAGAGTAGTGTCTGGCAAGAAAAAAGATTCAAAAGAGGAGAAATTTTTAAGCATTATTTAATCGCTATAGACAGTACCTTTTCACTGTACTCCAGAAGATGAATGCAGTTAAATTTATGGTCATAATTTCAATAAGTAATTTAAGCCAGTTTCAGAATTTACCAGTTAATAGCTTGGATAATTTTTACTTTGTTTTATTTATTTTGTTTGTTTAAGCTTACTAATAACGTTTTAACAGGGGCATTAATAAAATGTAAACAAACCTTTAAACAGCACTGACATTAGTTCTCCTTTTGGGTTCTCCAGTTTGAGAGAACACCCACCATATGATTTTAGGCAATATTAGCTAGATACCCATCTGAATTGAGTTAGAACTAAACAAAAATTGGAACTGTCTTGGTTACGAATTAATTATTGTGATAATGGTACTTTTATCTAAATGTTTAGTTCTGGAGATGGACAATGTAACAGAATGTCCTATGTAATATTTTATAACTTAATATTACAGTCTATTTAAGTGAATATTTGATGATTCATGGCAAATTTCAGGCTTTAGGTACCCAAAGTAAAAAGTCCCTATTTTCATAAACCTAAGGGAACTGAGCTACACAATTTTTGACATCTTTCTCCCTGATGGACTTAGACTTTCAATGTTTACCCAAAAAAAAAAAAAAAAGAACCATATTTTCTTAGCTCTTTAAGTATTTTATGTTCGGTAGACCTTCTTATAAAGTAAAATAGTAATTATGTGATTGTATTACTCACATTGATATGTGCTGTTTTCTTTCTTTATACCTCCTTCCTATACTTTTGGTCCATTACCCATTTTAATTTTCTTAAGAGAATTTTTAACTATTTATACCTGATATAACATTATACATAATGTTCATTTTTCATTCTTTATTTAACAAACATATATATCATTCCAGATACTGTTCTAAAAACTGAAAAAATATTAGTGAATCTAACAGAGATAGCCTTTTCCCCTCAGGTAAATTTTATAGTCTAGAGTACAATAAAAACACCGGGGAAAGTAATTAATGTAAAATCTCAACTTCAATGTGATGAAATATATCTTAAAACTTCTAATTATAAAAGAAAGAATGAAATAAAATAAACTTTACAGCAAATTTAATCTTTCATTCTTGAGTTTTAGTGATAACTGGAAATGCAGTAAAACTGTCAAAATTAGACTTAAACATTTCTGAAAACTTGGCTTGTCATTGAGTTAGAATTTTTAATTTAATCTCATTATTTTAAATAAATTCTGCTACTGATGAAACAAGCTTACTTCTCTTTAAATTTGATGTTACTCAAAATGTTAAGGTAGTTATATTTTTGGTTGCTACATAACAATAATAAGTTCAAGAATAATAGCTTCTCATCATCTAACTAGAACATTTACACCTAACCCCATTGATCATCTAAGACGGCAATAGAAGAAAATTAGTTTAGATATCTAGTCATAGCTTTCAGAACTAATAGATAACTTTATTATTGCAATTCTCTGCTGGGTAGACTTTACATTTGTGCAGTCCATTTGATTTAAACTCCAGTTGCCAAGTGCCCCATTCTAAACTATGTAACTCTAAATCCTTTACTCCCATTGCACATGCTTTTAAATTCCTTTTACTTTGTTTCTGATACGCTCTTCAAATGGATCTGAGAAGGATTGTATTTGTTATTATATTAATATTGTTCTTGAATAAAGCTGTTATATTAAGTGCTTCATAAAATACATGATTGTCTTAATAATAAAAAATTAAAACTTATTGGCCCGTTATTGCAAAGGGTGATAAAAGTTACAGCCAGGCAGTGGAAAAAAAGAATATTGATATTTTTTGCCATTCTTTTTGCGAGATTCTTTTTTTTGGGAAGAATCCCTGAAAGCCATTTATCTTGCTTTATATGAAATTATTTTTTTCTAAAATAGTTTGTAAGATTATTTCATATATTTTGGTAGCAATAGCTAAGTATGCAGCAAGGCAAGAGCAAAGAAATTAATTGTTGAATAAAATTCTCACTTTGAAATTCAAGTAAAGGGCTTCAGGCCTGGAGAACTCACTGAACTTGGAGATCATTTCTTAATATCCTCCAATGAGATGTGCCAGATACCTGCAAGGGTCTGGAAAGTGGATACTGCACTCTAGAGCTTACTAATATTGATTCGTATACACACAAAATTCACCTTTTGCCCTGATGCTTCTTTGAGCGAGAAAATAAACAGGCACACTAATATTTTAAATATATATATATATTTTTTTATAAAATCCACAAATAATCTGATTACTAGAACATTCAATTGGGTCCTTAATTTAAACAAAAAAGCCTACACGGTTGGAAATCAAGAATAATTATTTTTCACTATGTGAGGATAATTTTGAGGACAAAACAAGTCAGGCATTTTCATGCAGTGACTGAATAATCTATAATTATTTGTTATCTATAAAAACTGCTAGAAGGAATCTGTGGAATAAATATATTTAGAAAGTGGTGTTATAATTTAATGTGGTTGTTTGAAAATCCAACTACTCTATATCAAACCAGAAATTTGAAATACATATTTGCTTTGTCATATTTGCTTATATCTAAAACAGTATTATTCTTTTAAAAGATTAATGTTTTTAAAACATTCTTTGAGTTCTGGGGTACATGTGCAGAACGTGCAGGTTTGTTACATAGGTATACACGTGTCATGGTGGTTTGCTGCACCTATCAATCCGTCATCTACGTTAGATATTTCTCCTAATGCTATCCCTTTCCCAACCCCACACCCCGTGACAGGCCCCAGTGTGTCACGTTTCCCTCCCTGTGTCCATGTGTTCTCATTGTTCAACTCCCACTTATGAGTGAGAACATGCAGTGTTTAGTTTTCTGTTCTTGTGTTAGTTTGCTGAGAAT
Organism: Homo sapiens; assembly: GCF_000001405.40. Classification (NCBI taxonomy): domain Eukaryota; kingdom Metazoa; phylum Chordata; class Mammalia; order Primates; family Hominidae; genus Homo; species Homo sapiens. The sequence continues at coordinate 64,229 of NW_009646200.1, forward strand.
CATGTTTCCAGCTTCAACCATGTCCCTCCAAAGGACATGAACTTATCCTTTTTTAATGGCTAATCTTTTAAAAACAGACCACAACAACAATTTACAAAACCTCTTTTATACTTTTCTAATATTATATTTTATGCCTGTTCTTTCTGAATTGCCTACTCTTTCAATAGGCATAGAATTATTTCAAATAATTTTTCTTTTTCTCCCATATTTTTCACATATTTTTCACATATTATTCACATATTATTTCACATATTTTTCTTTTTCTCCCATTTCCCTATATTTTAGAGTTAAACTATTTAAATTAATATACTATCTAAAATTAGAAGAGCTTTAATAAGCAACTTCAAATTAACTGTTGACAGGTTTCTATCAGTTCAGCAATGGTTTAGCACAGTGAAGAGCACGGGTTCTGCGTCAGATTTCTTTGATTTTAATTCTGACTCCATCAGTTAATAGCTGTGAGATCCAGCGCAAATCACTTACACTTTTTAAGCTTCAATTCTCTCATCTTTAAAATGAGGGTAATAATACTTAATTCAAAGGATTTTTAAAGATTAAGTGCAATAATGTGTGAGAAGTATTCTGTACAGCAGAAGACTAACATGTAAAGTATTTAACAATTGTGAGCAATTATAGCCATTAGTTATTATTCAATACACAGTTAACAATGAGAAAAACACAGAGAAATTTTCTCCATTCTATTAGTGACTAAGTCCCATAGGTAATTTTATGTCCCTCATATATATAAATTTATTGACCAGAATAATTTCAAAATATTCCACTGTTAACCATATGCATCAAACACAGCACATTAGTCATATAATAAACTTTATAATAAACTTTTTTATTTTACTATATTAATATAATTCTATATTGGCACAAGCACTATTGTTTTTTTTTTTTTGCATTTTAAGAAAGAAACTGCTTTTGTCCATTCCTGCTGGTAGAACTCTAATTTTTATGGTTGTATTATCTCCATAATTTAAATGAATATATAAAATGAATCAGTGTAAAAATGTGGGAAGCAAAACTGGTATTCTTGGGTTACTTACTATGTGTGAGTCACTGTATTAAGTAATTAGCCTATATTAATTCAATGAACATCAAAATACCACCCAGGGGTTATCGCCATCATTCCCATGTCACAGATGAAGAAAATGCAGCTTAGACTAGATAAGTAACTAATTCACAGTCACAAACTGGCACCATACTTCCTTGCATGACAAAGGTTTGCTATTTGAATGTTACAACATAGTTGAGACTCGCAAGAGTCTGAATATTTTTATAATTTGTGTATTAACTTTGTGGAAATGATAATAACAAAGTACGTATAAAAATAGATTTTTGTAAACTTTTGGAACATAATTTAGCTTCAGATGTGATGGATTTGTAATTACTTATTGTAGAAACTGGCATTTTTTTTCCTGTGAAGGGTCAGGTAGCAAATATTTCAGGTTTTTCAACTCATACAATTCTATCATATATTCTTCTTCAATTTTGTTTTCTTTCATTGTTTTTACAGTGGTTTAAAGATGTAAAACCATTCTTAGTTCTTAGGCCAGATTTAAAGCAAGCTGCTGGCTGGATATAACCTGTGGGATGTAACTTGTGTGTTGTTGACTCCTGGTCCAGAACAAAAATAATTGTTCATCTTTCATTATTATGCAAGTATTTGGACAAATAAGCACATGTATGAGACCATATGCCATAGAAATATAAAATAACAGTGACAAAGTTTTAACAATATTTTATCATTAAAATAAAAGTAAATTCAGATATACATTATGTACATTGTTTTATGTAAAGCAAATAAGTAAAATATGGTTTATAATTGTGTCCTATAAAGGGACATTGTTCTTCTGGACGTACGTTTTTGAACAAAAGTCATATGGAGTTGTCAATTGATGCCACAGTATGAGAAGAATCTTGTCTTCATGTTGTGTCATATTGCTTTTGCCAAATAATTTTTGCTTTAAGGATTATTACAAATTAGTGGTAAATATAGTTTTTTTTTAACTATATAGAAATGATGTTAACAATATTGTCCTTCATATAATCTTGTGTTAACATATAATTAAAACAAAAATTTAATAAATTACTTAATGTACTTAACTGTCCCAAAATGTGGAGAGGAATCTATGTTTCTTTTAAAGAAATAATGTCAATTTAATGACTTTTATTTATTTCTCTTGTCTGATTGCTTTGACTATGACTTCCAGTACTATGCTGAATAAAAGCAGTGAAAGTGGGCATCCTTGTCTTGTTACAATTTTCAGGGGAAATGCTTCATCTTTTCCCGATTCAATATAATGTTGGCTGTGGGTTTGTCATAGATGGTTTTCATTACCCTAAGCTGTGTCCCTTCTATGCTGATTTTGCTGAGGGTTTTAATCCTAAAGGGATGCTGGATTTTGTCAAAATATTTTTTCTGTGTTTATTGAGATAATCATATAATTTTTGTTTTTACTTATGTTTGTGTGGTATAGTGGTATATCACATTTATTGACTTGCTTATGTTAAACCGGCACTGCATCCTTGATGAGACTTGATCATGGTGTATTATCATTTTGATATACTGTTGAATTCAGTTCGCTAGTATTTTGTTGGGGATTTCCGCATCTATGTTCATCAGGGATATTGGTGTGTAGTTTTTTGTTGTTGTTGTTATATCCTTTTCTGGTTTTGGTATTAGAACAATATTCACTTCCTTGAAGGATTTAGGGAGCATTCCCTCTTATTATGCAGATATCTTTAGGGTAAAAATAACTTATAAGCTTTTCTTTATTACATTAATTTATGTAAGATTAAAATAAGATACAGTCAGGGTAAAATCACTTATAAAACACAAAGTAAAATGTGATTTTAAAAATAATATAATATATGTAGTAATGCTTACCTACTAGTTTTTAAACATATTTTTACATTTCCATTAAGAATTGCCTACTTAAAATTCTGCTTGTGTTTTCCTGGAAGATTTCTGAGTAATCTTTTCATACTGTGATATTAATCCTTTGTGTATGTTATAGATCACAAGCAGTTATTTGGAGTATAATTAATTTGTCATCTGATTTGTTTGTTCTTCCATACAGAAAAATATAATTAATAATATATTATTTTATGGCTTTTGTGTTTTCTGTTTTCCTTAATCAGACCTTTTCCACTAGAACCATTTACGTTCATTTTTCTTAATTTTTCTAATATTTTATAGTTTTATTTTCAATAACTATATCTAAAAATGAACAGAAATTATTTATTTTATATACAGTGTATCTGGGCGTACACCTTTGATTTTTCTTTCCCATAATTTCATCAATTATAGCTAAATAAATTAATCATTATTCCTCATTGATGTACTAACTTTTCTCAGTTCTATTTGTTTACTACTATTATAATGCTAGTTGATTTCATTATACTAATTTTATTTTGAGTCTTCAATAATTTGTGGATATTTTTTAAAAATCCAATTAAAATTCTAAGATGTGTATTTCTTTTTTTGATCTTATGAGTCACTTATAACAATTTCAAGAAACCACTCTTGAATTATCATTGTCATTTCAGTAAATTCCTATATTTATTTAACAGAATTGATATTTTGAAATTGCCTTCAAAACCACAAAAACTGCACACCTCTCACTATAACTCAGGTACATTTATTTACTTTAATAATTTTGTTGCCCTATTCGTACAGGGCCTCGATATTTTCTGTATAATTTTTTAGGAATTTTTATTTTTGCCAGTATTTTTTTTTTTTTTTTTTTTTTTTTTTTTTTGAGACGGAGTCTCGCTCTGTCGCCCAGGCCGGACTGCGGACTGCAGTGGCGCAATCTCGGCTCACTGCAAGCTCCGCTTCCCGGGTTCACGCCATTCTCCTGCCTCAGCCTCCCGAGTAGCTGGGACTACAGGCACCCGCCACCGCGCCCGGCTAATTTTTTGTATTTTTAGTAGAGACGGGGTTTCACCTTGTTAGCCAGGATGGTCTCGATCTCCTGACCTCATGATCCACCCGCCTCGGCCTCCCAAAGTGCTGGGATTACAGGCGTGAGCCACCGCGCCCGTTTTTGCCAGTATTTTAAATGAAGTTTTAAAATGATCTCTAATTGTTGTTGCTGCCTTATAATAGAATGCTTAGAATTCTATTTTATGGCACTAAAATAGAATGGAATGTACTATGGAAAATGTTCTTTTCTTGTTTTCCAGAATTAGCTAGTACAACACAAAATTGAATTTAAAGACATAGACAGTACTTGACATTCTGAAGAGCGTTCATTCATGGGGGGACACCCTCTTTAGGACATATGAAATGTACCTTAACTGGCTCTAACCATCAGCATCCTTGTGGATTTCAGTTAAATAATAGCCAAAATAATATTTTCTCTAATTTTGATCCTATCAAATTTATTATTTTCACCATTACTAATTGATTTTGGCTAGGAGAATGCATTTTGTTATATTTAATTTTTTAATTTCCTGTTCACTAGAGATGGAAATTAGGAATAGCTACCAAGTTTTATTGTGTGATTTGTCATCATCCAGAAGTAAATGGTTTTATATATACTTTAATTTGTTTATTTAAAAATTTATGTTGATATATTTCCCTACTTGACCAAGTCTTACCCTGCTAGAATAAACATTACTTGATCATACTGCATATTTCAAAAGGTATGTAAATTTAATTTATTTAATTATGTTTTCTTTAGATTTATTGTACCTAAGACCATTTTGATCAATATATAATTTTTAGATGTTTTGTGTAATATGTAATATAATTTGATTTTTACATATGCTCAAAAAAGAATATTTTCTACATCAATAGATGAAAAAATAAAGGGTGTTAATTATAGCAATAATTTTTACATTAGAAATAAAGAGGTCTTGAGGTGCAATATTACATTAATCTAAAGAAGGAACTATGTATTTCAAACATGTTATGGCTGACTTGCGTTCCCCATCCTAAATTTTTTCTAGCTTGAAGTACTAACTTTTAGTAGCTGAGAATATTATTGTATTTGGAGATAGAGTGTTTAAAGCAGTAATTAAGTTTAAATGAGGTCATCAGAGTGGGATCTAATCCAATACAACTAGTTTCCTAATAAAATGAAAGATTAGGACACACAAAAGGAAGACCTTATGAAGGAACAGGAAGAGGACAAAGATCTACACAAAAACCAAAATGAGAGTCCTCAGAGAAAAACCAACCTTGCTGACACTTTTTTCTTTGACTTCTACTGTCCAGAATTGTGAAAAAATAAATTTTGTTGTTGAAGCCCCTCAGTGGCTTTGTTGCAGCAACCCTGGTAAACTAATACAATATAATATCTATTTATTTAATGATATGTAGATACAGCCATGTCTCCTGGAAATGTTTGGTTTATTTTTGAAGTAAATATTTTATATTAGAATAAAGATCAGGCTTACATAAAAATAAATGTATCACAGGAAACCCTAGCAAAGCTATAAGCAGTGTTCACTTTTGTAATAATGTGCCTACTTTAATGGTTTTGTTTTGGATTCTCTGAGTATTTTAGCCAAACAAAAACATGCTGAAAATCATACTCAACACATAATCTATAATAACATTATCTTAACTCTATGTCCTGAATGCTGAACCCCAACTTGCCGAGACTCAATTGGAAATAAACACAGTTCGGTAAACTAAAGAATTTCAATGTCCTCACCACATTTTGGTAGAAAAGTAAGGCAAAAGTATGTTCATCTTTTTTGAAGAATGCTTGTTATTTCTTTATCATGTTTTCCTTTGCTTTTTCATTGAAAATGTCACAACCCATTTTTCTCTCACAAATTGGCCATACTTGTTAAGCTGAACCTGTACAGTTACCTCTATGTAACTATTCTTAATGTCCTCTACATACTGCCAAGACAATGGCTTTTGATTTCTCAAGGTAGCAATTTAGACGAAGGGAATATATCACATGGGGCATACAAAACCACAAGTGAGAAGCCCTGTTTTTTAGAGTTAGCTTTTTTATAACCACTCTCTCAGGACTTGGTTCCTTTAAGAAAATCATTGAATCATCTCTTGAACCTGTTCTTATGATTTACTTCCTTTAGGAGACAAAAGATAATCACAGTTTGGAAAATATGGATTATACTTTGAAAACTATAATAATTCAGGAAAGATGTCTGTAGCTAATATGAAAGATAACAACTGTAAGCTTATATTGTTGCTTACATTTTTTACAGAATGTAGGGCAAAGATCTTGTCTTTTATATCTTGTCTTCTTAACTGAATTTTACACAGTGGTTTGCACATTGTAATTGCCCAATAAATATTTACAGAATTAAATTGAAAATTTTATCACTTAAATGGCTCTTCTTGACACATTCTGGCCAGTGATGAGTTTAATTACCTAGAGTATAAATGTTGTACATGGCATTTCCACCTTAAAATCAATTTGACTTATTTAGATATTCTTTCTAGAATTGTGTTAACATTGTAACTTTTTTATTAACAATTCATCATATGACATTTATGAAAGATTATGTTGATCATCTAAAGGAAACTCAATCAGAAATTACCCATTCTCTGAACCAAACTGGTTCAGAGAATGATTGGAGTTTATTGTTTTAATCCTGTCAAGCCATATAGAACTTATTCTTAAACAATAAAAAAGCTTAAAATGTGTTTAGATCTTATGTTCAATTAAACTTCAAAAGCTACTGAAAATATAGCTTATGAGTTGGTTGTTCAGACATAAGTGGAAGATATTAAATAGGGATAATTTAGCAAGCTGTGCAATTTTATGCATGCATATTTATTTTGTTTTTTTATGGAACTGACTTCTAGAATTTGATTTGGTATATACATTTTTTTTTTTTTTTTTTTTTTGAGACGGAGTCTCGCTCTGTCGCCCAGGCTGGAGTGCAGTGGCGGGATCTCGGCTCACTGCAAGCTCCGCCTCCCGGGTTCACGCCATTCTCCTGCCTCAGACTCCCAAGTAGCTGGGACTACAGGCGCCCGCCACTACGCCCGGCTAATTTTTTGTATTTTTAGTAGAGACGGGGTTTCACCGTTTTAGCCGGGATGGTCTCGATCTCCTGACCTCGTGATCCGCCCGCCTCGGCCTCCCAAAGTGCTGGGATTACAGGCGTGAGCCACCGCGCCCGGCCTGATTTGGTATATACATTTAAGTTTAAATACACATTTATCAATCTAAAATAGATAAGAAAGTGTTTATATATTTCTATTTTGAATTTCTGTACTAACTTTCACTAAGAAAAAGTGCTGTCCTGTCTTATTTGCTCTAATAAAATTAAATCATGAGATCTAAAAAATGACCTTAATTTTTATCTATTCGGTCAGTGATTCTCAACTGGTAGGAGGGGCTTATTCAAGATTATCTCATTAAAATAATGTAATGGGACTTTTTTCCCCTTTAAATTGTACAAAGATAGTTAGTTATATCTTTTCTCCACTCCACCAGGCAAAAAATTAAACAGGTAAATTGTTGCAAACTGAATCTTGTCTCAAAAGCCTCTAGTACTTAAAACAGAGCATTTCTTTGGGGCTACTTGTTCTTTCTTGTATACTTCAACCTCTTTTTTCTCTCAACCAGCTCCCTCCACATAAGTATCTCACTTTTGGCAAAATATGACCCCAGTTTGAGTCTTCATTATGACCCAGCTGGTTACCCACAGCTCACTCCGGAGAGTAAGTCTTTCTGTGTTACTCAATTTAAATTATCCATAGGTAGAATTTGGTGGTCTTGTCTTCTTACATGTCATAGGTTATTAGAATATCTATGGATTATTTGCCTCATGGCTAGGTCTTTATCTAGAGAGAGGCTTATATGGCACAAGGACTGCCTTTTCAAGGGGCTCGGGACAGGGCACATGTCACAAAGTACATCTTTTGCAATTAAAGTATATTGTGTTTGATCAGCAAACATTTACAGAGTGCCTAACACATATAATAAGATCTACTTGGTAATAGGTAAACAAAAGGTGTAATATAAAGGTCTCCAGTGTAAGAATATAGCATAATTAGGAGGACTGAATGCATGTATAAAAACATGGATCCATACATGCCTATATATATATACATATATATAGGCACATACACGTGTGTATATATATATACACACATATATACATATATATACACACATAATGTGGTGCCTAAGGGATTACATATTTGTATTTGGAAGTAAAATAATATGTCATTATGGACAATTTGTGTTCAGGGAAGACATACTTGAAGTAATACGACAACTTACACTTTATTAATCAAAAGTAATTTTTGAATCATTTTTCCTCAAATATGTCTTTCCTGTCTACTAAATCATTCTATTATAAAGACAAAATACACATGTGTGTTCACTGGAGCACACAATATTGCTATTCACAATAGCAAAGACATGGAATCAACCTAAATGCCCATTTTTTTGGCTGAATACTATTTCACTTTTTCTATAGTAACTTCTATACATTTCTAGCATGTCTCTTTGAGTTTTATTAGTTTATATTAATTAATTTATTAAGAGAATGCTCCTAGGGACATTACCTGATCTTCACACACCAGAACTAATTATCTAAAATAAACCAGTGATTTCCAAAGGATTTTTATTTTATGCTACCAAGAGGAATTCCAGAAAAGTGCAGAAGACTTTACAGAAAAAGTGAAATACTCTGCAGCCATAAAAAAGAACGATATCATGTCCTTTGCAGTGACATGGATAGAACGAGAGACCATTATCCTTAGCAAACTAACAAGAAAAGAAAACCAAATGCCACATGTTCTCAAAGAAAACCAAATGCCACATGTTCTCACATGTAAGTGGGAGCTAAATAATGAGAACACATAGAGGGGAACGACATGCACTGGGGCATATCAGAGGGTGGAGGGTGAGAGGAGAGAGAGGAGCAGGAAAAATAACTAATGGGTATGAGGCTTAATACCTAGGTGATGAAATAATCTGTACAACAAACCCCCATGACACTAGTTTACCTATGTAACAAACCTGCACTTGTATCCCTGAACTTAAAAGCATTAAAACAACAACGACAGCAACAACAACAACAAAGTGGTTTAACTATTTGATTCAGAGTGGTTGATGGAGCAAAGACTTTGACCAGTCTCTCAAATGAATCATTTTCCTATAGGACTCCCATTTCTCTATCTCATATAACATTCTCATGAATTGTTTACTTAAACTGTAATTTAATTTTGTACTTATGGGTTTTTAAATTTTCTATCAGTATCTTTTACTTCTTAATAAGGAATATACACTGCGCTTCTTGTTAGTTCTCATAACAACCAGCAAGAGCACTATGAACCCCAAGTTTGCATGCAGTGAAAATTTAAGTATTTTCTGACTTGCTCAACTTACCATGGATACAAAAAATGCCTTTAAAATATATAAAGCTTGAAAAAATGTATTCTATCTTTACATTTTCAAAATATACTTACCTATAACAATTTACATAACACACTAACATAAAAGTTTAATTACTTATAATAAATCTAACATCACATAAGGAATATATCTACCAGTTTGTTGTGTCAATGTATGTGTCCAATTTCCAATCAACCAACCAAAATTTGCTGCATAAGCTTTCCACAAAGAATATTTCCTCAAGTTGTAAATGCAAAGCATTTTTAAGAAATATGAGATGTACCTAATTTTGTGATATTTAATAAGTCACATTTGAAAAATGAGAAGTAACAACATGCATATTTTCCAGCTTGAGAGGAGCCTTTTTTGTGTTACCAATTTTATGAACTATGTTTGATTAATAAAGTCATTTTTTGTTTCTCTATTACAGTTTTTTTTTTTTTTTTTGGCCCAAATAACAGAATTTTATTATCTCACAGTGCTGGAGGCTAGAAGTTCAAAATTAATATGTCAATAGGGTTGGTTTCTTCTGAAGGCTGTGAAGGAAAGAACTGTTCCAGGCCTCTCTCCCTGGTTTGTATGTGTCCATCTTCTCCTTGTGTCTCTTCGGATATGAAAGGACATAATGCATATAAAGATGTTTTTGTTATTCTTTCAATGTTGCCAATTTAATGATATCATTGTTTATTTAGCTTTGAAAAGCACTTTTTCCTTAAATAAATATTGAAATATGAAATGCTGATGTCACTATATAGCAAAAAATGAGGAACAGCAGATCTGGGAAGCAGTCCAAAGTGCTTCAAAGTGACTTGTGTGCCAAGCTAAGGCTTTTTACCTAAAGCCATCAGTTTCTGAGGAAGAAAAAAAATTATCTTTAAAGATAATTCAGGTATATTATGAAATGATTAAGCTCTTATGCATATAATTTTATATGCCACTGCAGTTTTACCATAACCAAAAAAATAATCCCAAAACTCTCTGAATGGGCAGGGATTCAGGGCCTCCTTTGGATAATTTGCAAATTCTCACAGAGCATATCCCCTGCCCTGAGCTCGTTTTCTTGTGGCTAGGATCACATCAACCACATAAAGCAGTGAAAAAAAATCAAAGTAAAAAGCTTTAAAAACAGAGAGGCTTGTTTGTTAGTCAGTGTGGGGGAATCAATTGGCAAACATTAAACAATGAAATTATGGAGTGGAAGTTAATCATTCTTAAATTAAGACCGGTACATACTAAAGTCCAGCTGGCAGCAATCACTGACAATACCTATTTAATCTGATTATGCTTTTAAGAAAATTACTCACAAATGGTAGATTTCAAACTGCAAGATAGAAATCACAGAACAAATAAGGTTAATTGTATCTATCTCTGAATGTACATGCATGCAATAAATCTAATTATGTTCACAATATTGAGTAGCTTTTAGCTCGTGTCCACTTCTTTTGTCCGATTTACACTGATTTTATTTTGGTAGAGATATTTTTAGTCACTTGACAAATCAAACATCTACTTTATCAATTCCCTTAGCAAATTTCCCTTTTAAGAGTTTGCTGTCCCTTAGGATCTTCAGAACTGTCAATAACTATACAATCTTTGTGAGTTTTCTGTGATATTATCTCCCTACCTGCAAGCTCCTTAAGCCTATTACTTCTCTAAGGAAATTGAAATGCTCAGTGATTCTTGACTTGCAGGTAGGATTAGGAATATCTTTCAGTATTGGCACCAAATTTTATAATTGTGCATTGGCAACAGAAAACCAATAAAAGTTGAATCATGCTTTAAAGATTTGCTAAGTGAAGTGAGCACTTATAAAAAATGGTGTGAAAAATATATTTCCTAACCTTGCCACTAAAATGAAGTGCCCGTGGATAAATATTGTTTTGGCAAATATCATGCCTCAAGGCATTGCTGGAGAATAAAGAATTGTATTTACACAGAACAGGCCTCCCCAGAGTGGTGTAATCAATATCACTGAACAGTTTCGGCTTGCAGGACAGTGGCTAATTCCCAGAAAACATCAACCACAAGTGGATGGCACCCAGATTCTGTGGTCAAAGGAAATCAGTAGTATTTCACATAGAGAAACTGAATAAAAAGACTCTGAATCACGATCAAGATTACAATAATACAAAACTGTGCCCTGGAATATACCAGTAAGGCTATCATCAGAGCAGTAAGCTAAGTTAGAAGCTAGAAAGAATGAGAATTGGACAGTGTTGTGTAATTAACAGGTAAAGTGGAGCTCTTCAGAATGAACATTATGATTTGTAGAGAAGGTAGAGTTGGCTAATGAATGGGTCTAGAATGGCATCCTCAGCTTAAAACAAACATGGAGAATATCCAGTCAAAGAGCTAAAAACTGGAAGATCCATAAATAGTTGAAATTTTTAAATACATTTCAGGCTGTTCAACTACTTGTGAAATCACATTGGTGAAGAAATGAAAGCAGAGAAAAATTTACCAGAGATAAGTAAGGTTCTTCATAAGGAGTGCCAAAAGTGTACTAAATGAGGGATCATTGACTAGTAAGAAAGATAGGACATGGGCATTTATAATTATCCAAGTCATTGGCCAGGAGCGGTGGCTCACGTCTGTAATCCCAGCACTTTGGGAGGCCGAGGCGGGTGGATCAGGAGGTCAGGAGATTGAGACCATCCTGGCTAACACGGTGAAACCCCAACTCTACTAAAAATACAAAACATTAGCCGGGCATGGTGGCGGGCGCCTGTAGTCCCAGCTACTCGGGAGGCTGAGGCAGGAGAATGGCGTGAACCCGGGAGGCGAAGCATGCAGTGAGCCGAGATAGTGCCACTGCACTCCAGTCTGGGCGACAGAGAGAGATTCTGTCTCACAAGCAAACAAACAAAAATTATCCGAGTAATTAAGGGACTCAATTTCAATTTGATGGCCCTCTTAAAGAGATGGGTTGAAAGAAAGGCAAGGTAAGGCAATACAACTTTGCTTAACAGAAAATATAATACAGTTAACAATTCTTAGAGAAAAGTTATTTTGACAGTGCAGGGAGATCCAGAGTTTCCACTTATTCTCTGATGAAGCCACATGTCAGTAACCCTGGTCCTCTGGTCCATATTTTACCGTAGGCATTGCCCAGTAGTGGTATAAGGCTGTAGAGAAAACAAAAACAAAAACAAAAACCTCCTACAGCTATCTAAATAAACCAGAGGTTTTTATTTGCAAATATGAAGAAACATTAAAAAATTACTAAACATTTTTAGAAATACAAAAAAAAAAAAGGAGGATCAAGATGAATCAATAGAACAGCTGGATTTGATATCCATAAAGCAAGATCGGGATGCTATAAGAAAGAAGCAATTTAGAAACTATCTTCATGGAAGAAAGCATGGAAATTAATACAATTAGTATTAAGATGAATAATCCATTAATGAGCTAAATAATAGAATATGATAAAGATGAAAAAAGAATTTAAGTTCTGTTAAAATGATGTCTGGAATATAATGTTCAGAAAATTTAACAATACATAAATTGTTGGAGGAGGTATATAAGAGGTGAAACATTGTAAACTAACAGTTTTGGAGATTTGAAGAATAGCTAACAATTATTTCATCCCCCTACTCTTGTTATTTGTGTACAAATATGTATTTGTGCATCTGATAAGGATATAACATATATAGTTATATTCAATAGCTGTATGATATCTACCAGCTACATCATAATGTATTCAATCTTTCCAATTTAACGGGCATTCGAGTTGTTTCTAGTTTCTCTTCTTATTTTTTCTTTTACAAATTAACATCTCATGAATGTCTGCATGCAGGTATTCATTCAGCTTGTGCTTGTACTGTTTCAAGCTAGGCTTCCAAAAGTTTGAAGTAGGAGTAAATGACATAGCATTTATATATAATTTAAATAAATATTGCCAGATTACCCTTTGAAAATGTTTTATTACCTGCTATGTCAATAGAGCTGGATGTCATCAATACTTCTGTTTTTAATTGTTGAAGACTTAAAAGGAAGGAAAATTAATCGCCATTGCATTTTATACACAATCAAAGGCATTTTGTTTGATTTCCCTTTCTAAAATAGTGTGGAAATACGTTTTTTCCTTATTTACTGACCATATACCTTTCTTTTGCCTACTCTATAAACTTTGCTCACTTTTTCTTTATATTTTTCTTTTTCTTTATCATTTTGTAGTGATAATTGTTTGTAATGAAAACTTGTATTATGTGTGAGCAAATGTGTGTTTCAAGTCTTTTACAGAAGAAGGCAAATAGATATATCTTGTCTTTCGAGTATTTTTTAACATTTTATGGTATATTTTTATCAGTAGCACTTTCTCTAAGAAGTATGTTTGGAATCTCATTCATATAAAAATTTCAAACAAATTTTAATTTGAGCAGTTTTTTCCTTATACAGATCGTCTAATAAATTCAGAGAAAATCTTATTTGGTGGTTTGGTCATATATTTAGTGATAGCTCTAAAGGGAAGTATACACATTTATCTCTCATTCAACAAATTCTCAAAAACCTCAAGTGTTTATATATCTTGAATTCTCAAAGGGAAAGAAACAAAACGTTTAATCCAAAATTCAAATGCCTATATAAATAAGTTCCTGTAAGAAGAAAAAGACACTTATGCATCAAAATTAGGCATGCATTCTTGTTTTTCTAGTCTATATTTCTAGGAGTGAAGATAGCAGGAGATAAAGCTCTATTATCAGCACACTTTTTTTTATGTGTGAGAGAGTTGAAATATTAAACTGAATATTTTTAGTCTTTTTAGGAGTCTCATCATCCTTTTGTTTCTATTTAAACGTGACTTATTTTGCCACCAGATAAATGTTTTAAGTATTGCAGAATGTTTAAGAACATATTCTGGCAAACCACTTTAAATTACAAAGCTAGCCAAGGCAAACTTGAATGCTTGACAGGTTTTAAAATAATAAATCGTTTTTAAAAATATATTTTGACACCTGGTTTAGAGCATTGGTTTTCAGAATAGAGTCCACAGATCAACAATAGTAACAACACCTGGGAACTCTGCAAAAATGCAAATTCTCAAAAACATACTAGGTGTACTGAATAAAAAACTTGAGGTGAGCCATCAATCAGTAATTTATTAAATCTTCCAGGTGATTCTCACATACTTTAATTTTTAAGAACCACTGCTCTGTACTTCTTAGGGGTCCTCTGGTGGCACTCAGATATTTTGTATAGGAATGTATGTATAATGCATATTTACTGTAAGTAGCATAGTATTTGGCTTGGCCTGCTACACGATGGGGGGTGTTAACAAGAGAAATATACTTCTCACTGTTCTAGACATTGGGAAGTCTGAGATTATGATGTGAGCATTGTCAAGCTCTGGAAAGGGTCCACTTGCTGGCTTACAGACTGTTGCCTTCTTGCTCTATCTCACATCGTGGAGAGAGTGAAAGCTAGCTCTCCCGTCTCATCTTATAAGGCACTTATTCCATCAAGAGCCCCCTCATCATCACCTAATCCTAATTACCTCATCTAAACCTCATAAGCCCAAAAGTCCTATCTCTAAATATCATCACATTGGAGGTTAGGGCTTCAACCTATTAATTTTAGGGGAAAACAAACATTCAACCCATAACATACTTAATTTACACGACCAGGTATAATTTTATTATAATATCTGGTGCAGCATAAGTGATGAGTTAAAAAAACAATTGAAAGAAGGACTAATAAAGCATTAATATTGGAAAAAAACAGTGTGAGTGAAAAATAAATAACAGATTTTTATATATTTAAAAATTATTAATGAATATTCCAAGTGTGTATTTTCTAATATTTAAGGATATTAAATCAGTAACATTTTCATTTATTTCTAATGTTTATGCAAGTGACAGTCGGCTCTGATTCTACTTCTCCCTATTCCACATATCATGTCCCAGCTTTCCATGTGTGGTCTTTTGCATGTTTGTAAAAATTAGGAAATTGCCCAAGTTTTTAACCTGTATGCTTCAATTTTTTGAAAAATACAAATATAAATGTAATAACTTCCTTACGGAGTTGTTGTAAAGTTTAGAGGAAGTCATATAATTCATTAGGATTCATGGAAGAGCCACACTTTATGCTAAGCAGGACAGGATGTAGTGGAGAGGTACAATTGAACAAGCAAATACAAGACCCCAATTATTATATCAATACTTTTTCATAAACATTTCTCAAAATGGCTTTCAAAGCCCTATTGGAAGCAATTATTTAATCTAACTATATAATATTAAATATGTTATATATTAAGTATGTTTCAGAGAAACAAAAAGTGCTATGAAGCTATAAACCATCACATAATAAGAAATAACTAGAAATATTCAGTAAGAAAATTATAAATTATGAAAAAACATTATAGCAGATTTTATGTTATCCAAAACATGTAAAAGCATAATTCATAAAATATACAGTTATTTTTGCATCATTCAAATATATTTTAATGTATTTTTAAATCAAATGTGTCTTTATTACTGGGCCATGAGAATAGTATCTGGCATATGATGGACATTAATTCTTGAATTCAGGAATAAACCAGACTTAAACATGCCATTATTGACTGATCCTATGAACTTGTGTGTATTAAAGGCATTTCAAACTTTACATACCCAAGATAGAATTATGTATTTCTGACACCCTCATATGTGTTTCTGCATGAATATGTCACATTTTAATAAATGGCACAACTAACTAGTTACTAAAGGCAAAACCCCAGAGGTCATGCTTATGATGGAGAAACTTTTACCAGATTAACCTATGTCAAGAAAAACTACAAAAGCTAGATAACAACAAAAAACAGCAGCAACATATATATTCTAGTAAATGGATAGCATCAGAGATAGCCATGACATTGTTTATTAATATTTTGGGGAAGAAAATCACATTTTACTGAGGTTAGATCCCCATGCTGCAAGACACTTTTCCAAGTTCTACATTATCAGTGCTAGAGGCTGAAAAAGGGTACCCATTAAGAGCTAGAATAGCCAGAATAATTTTTAATTATGTCATAATTCTGAGGAGACAAAATTTGAAGGTAATAAATACCGGGCCAACAAACACTAAGAAGTCAACATTTTGGAGAGAAAAATATTACTGAAGACAGGATGAAAATCTGCACCAGTTTTTCTGCTTGAGATATTTGAGGTATTTCACCTGTAATATAAAGGGGACTAAGAAGCCAAGAAAAAAATTGGTCTATAATAATCTCAGCAGAGCTTTCATCACTCCTAAATAAAACTGGGGGGAAAATGTAGTTTAAGGCCTATCAAGAAGGATTTCTGGTGAATATATTAAGCTTCCAGATGGAAAGCTTAAAAGGCTATACCTTGGGGTTGGGGACTAAATAGAGGTTTATTAGGCTTCACAGACTTTGAAAGTATCCTGTAGTAAACTCTGTCGCTGACGGAATTGAGAAATCTTGAAATCAATATGCCTGCCAGAACACAAGGTTTATATTCTCTGTGTTAATTAGTTATCCAGATCATCTTCAAATTTTCATATATGATATCCATATTTTTAAAAAATTAAAATTAAGAAATAACCATAATAACATATAAATATGTACAAATGAGTTCCAGACATTAGTCTTATATTACTGAACTTCTAAAATACTTGTAATAAGTTCAAAAACATTGATAACATGATTGATTTAAGTAGAACTAGAATATTTTTAAAAGTCATACCGAAATTTTGAGACAGAAAATTATAATAATTAAAATAAAGAATATGACAAAGGGACTTGATAGCAGATTGGACACAAAGACATAATTAATGAACTGGAAAATAGGTTAGTAATCATGTCAAAGTACACAAGGAAAATCAGATGGAAAAATACATAAAATACATCAAAGAGCATACAAAATGTATGAGGAAAAATGCATAATAAAATGTTATCCAATTGAAGTTCAGCAAGAGAGGGAGAGGAAGAAATACAGCAAAAGATACTTTTGGAGATATCATAACCCAAAAATATTCCAAAATTATGAAATACATCATTAAACTTCACATTTCAAGATAAATTTTTAGTATCAGTCAAAAAGACATGTTGGCAACAAAAAGTAAGACCTACTCTATTTACTGTCTATTGAAACAATGGAAGACAAAAGACCATGCATTCATATCTTTACATGCTTAAAATAAAAGATCTTCAATCCATACTCAGTGAAAATATACTTAAAAGTAAAACAATAATACATACAAACAAAAAATTAAGATAATTCATTTTCGGCAGACCTGCAGTGGAAGAAGGAAGTTAGTCAGGTAGAAAAAAGTGATCCCATATGGAAGTACAGAAAGACAGAAAGGAATTACTAGCAATCACAATGTTAAATATGGCAGGGTGCGGTGGCTCACGCCTGTAATCCCAGCACTTTGGGAGGCCGAGGCGGGCAGATCACGAGGTCAGGAGGTGGAGACCATCCTGGCTAACACGGTGAAACCCTGTATCTACTAAAAATACAAAAAATTCGCTGGGCATGTTGGCGGGCACCTGTAGTCCCTGCTACTCGGGAGGCTGAGGCAGGAGAATGGCGTGAACCCGGGAGGCGGAGCTTGCAGTGAGCCGAGATGGCGCCACTACACTCCAGATTGGGCGACAGAGCCAGATTCTGTCTCAAAAAAAAAAAAAAAAAAGCTTAAATATACAGGTAAATCTAAATTGTATTTGACCAAACACATAATTACATCATGTGCATCACTAATAGACATATAATTAAATCTGTAACATGAGTCATACAATGATACAATGTGGTGGATGGAGTTAAAGTGTTCAATGGTTCTGGTTTATCTAAGGTACAGTATAATAAAATTAATCATTTATGGTAGATCCCATTAAGTCAAATAATAATTCTATAATAATTCTATAATCGTATTTAACTAAGAAACTAACAAAGAGAAAAACTGAATAATATTTCAAATAATTTGTATAATCCAAAATAATATAGGGAATAAGAGATAAACATAGAAGAGGTGAAATAAGCAGGAAATAAAAAGTAAAATGGTAAGGCTTACCCCGGATATTTTAGTAATTACATTAAAGTAAGCTAATCTAATTAATAGTCAAAAATTGCCAAATGAAATTAAAAAACAAAATCCTCAAATATGATTTAATGATATGTAAATCGATATGAGAACACAGACAATATAAAAAAAATGATGAAGATATACCATGAATATGACGAAAAGAATACTAAGGCAAGACAAACATAATTATTAGAAATAAATATATTTTATAATGGTCAAATAGTTTATAAAAAGCAAACATTATGTAACCAATAATATAATATGAATAATACATGTATATAATAAAATTAAAATTGACAAAATTTAAGAAATAGAAAAACTTATAGTCATTTGAATATTTTAGTAAAAATTTGACAGTATGATTTTAGAATTTATAGGTAAAAGTAAACAGCCAAGAGTAGTGAAGACAGTTTTGAATGCAAAGAAGCAGCTTAGGTGATATACAATACCAGATATAAATATTTGCTATAGAATTGTAATAAACTAGAAATTTGTACGAGCATAGAAAGTAGACCAAAGACAAGGAATTAAGTATAGAAATAGAATTTAAAAATTAGCACTAAATTAACGACAACATTGAAACACCATTTTAGTGAGGAAAGAAATGATTTTGAGTAAATTAAAGATTTTATACATATATACGCATTATATATCTTATGCATCAAAACATGCATAAAAATAAATTTCAGTGTATAAAACAAAAATTATTTAGAAGCAAATAGAGGAAAATATCTTCATGATCTAAGATAGGCAAAGTTTTCTAGAACAAGATATAAAACTCTAATCATACCTTATAACACTGGTAAACTGTGCTATATTAAGTTTCAGGCTTTTAAGTCATTAAAAGACATCATCAAAGATTGAAAAAACAAGCCATGGATTATAAGTAGATTTATAGAAAGAAAAAATAATATAGATCTAGATTATAGATCTAGATTTATATAAAAAAGGACTCATGACCCACATTAAACAGATTAGAAAAAGACAAACAACCTAACTTAAAAATGTGCAAAATTTAAACAGCGGAAGGATATTTAAATAGGCAAACAGCTTCTAAAAATCTTCACAACCTCATTAATTGTTTATAGTAGGAACCTCTTTACAAATCCTCATGGCCTTGCATAATAAATCAATTAACAGCCTATCTTCATTTATTTTTAGCAGGTAACATAGTATAGGAGTCAGGGCTTGGCTTTGGAATCTGATGACCCTGAGCCCAAAATCCAGCTCCACGTGAAAGCAAACCTACAAGGAAATCTAGGGCCCTCAGCCATCTATATGATCACACCATATGCTTTCAGACTTTCTTCACTCATTCCCAATAAATATGTGCTTGCTAAATGGGCAAAAAAAATAAAATAAAATATAAATTAAAATTATGAAAAGATAACACTACACACCTGCCACAATGTCTCAAATTAACAACCCATAACACCAACTGTTGACATGGATATGAAGCAACAGCAACTCTCATAAGCCAATAGGAGTCATGCAATATAATAAAAAAAATTTTGAATTACTAAAGGTGAAAACATGCACTTTTTATTATCCAGAAATTTTAAATCTATGTATATACTCCAAAGAAATGCATACCTTATACATCAAAAGACACACAATTATATTACAATAGAAACGGAAATAGCCCAAATATTCATAAATAATAGAATGGATACATACAATTTAGTATTTATACAATGAAATATCAAACAGTAATGGAAACAAACTACTGTTTGTCATAAAAATGGATAAATTTTGTAAACATAATGTTTACCAAAATGATCAAGTACCCACAAAAATAATGCATGTGAGATAATTTATATTACACATAAATTCAAAAAATGTAAAGCTAATGTATGGTAAGAGAAATCAGAATAGTGCATAGTTTAGGTATGTAGATTCATGAGAATGAAAAGGCATTGTTGCTCTTTCTTTATTTGGCGGTGTTTATCTGGACGTATTCACATATTTACAATTCGCATGTTTTATGTTTTGTTGTATACCTTGTAGGTGTTTATTTTTTTAAGTTTATTTTGAAAATTCCAAGAAATTCCATTATAATTATATTCAAATCCAGTGTATGTCACTAGGACCATTAACTCATCATCCTTACCATCACCAAAGCTACCATCAACACAATAGCAAATATAATAACCTTGTTCTTTTCATTCCCTCACAAATACCCCATCCTCCCATCAAATTACCAGAGTATGTACCTCTAATCACACAATGTATCCTGACTTGAACATTTTTACCATTTCCATTATTTCTACCATCAAAACAAACTACTATCATTTCTCTCCTCGAGTCCCGCAATAATTTTTATTTGTCTATGTGTTTCAACTCTTAAGCATCTAAAATTCATTTTCTACAGAGCAGTGAAAGTGATAATTACAAATTAATTATGCCATCACTTTGCTGAAACTACCCCCATGGCTTCAAATCTCTCTTGAAAGTAAAATAAAATTTTATAATTCTTCATGGTTAGCCAACTGCCAGTCTTTCTTATATAATTCTCTGCTACTCTCCCATAACAGATATTTTCCCGTTCCTCTGGCCTTTCAATTATTTGCAAATGCTTCCTGACTCAAGCTCTTCACTCTTGCATTTTCCTCTGCCTGCAATTTTTTTTCTTCAGAGATCTTCACATAGCATGCTCCTTAGTTGCTACTCAGCTCAAATTTTACCACCTCAGTGGACCTTTATTTACCTTATTGCCAATTATTCTGTCTTTCACAAAAGTATTTCTCTTACTTCTAGCTGAAATCATCTCATTTATAAATCTAGTGTTTGCACCTTCTATCAGTTAGGACACAATTTCATTTTGGGGTAACGGTGCCTGGATATAATGTCTTTTTATTATTATTATTATTACTATTATTATTATTTTACTTTAAGTTCTGAGGTACACGTGCAGAACGTGCAGGTTTGTTACATAGGTATACATGTGCCATGGTGGTTTGCTGCATCCATCAACCCGTCATCTGCATTAGGTATTTCTCCCAGTGCTATCCCTCCCCTAGCCCCCTAGCCCCTGACAGGTCCCAGTGTGTAATGTTCTCCTTCTTGTGTCCATGTGTTCTCATTGTTCAACTCCCACTGATGAGTGAGAACATGCCCTGTTTAGTTTTCTGGTCCTGTTAGTTTGCTGAGAGTGATGGTTTCCAGCTTCATCCATGTCTCTGCAAAGGACATGAACTCATCCTTTTTTATAGCTGCACCGTATTCCATGGTGTATATGTGCCACATTTTCTTTATCCAGTCTATCATTGATGGGCATTTTTGTTGGTTCCAAGTCATTGCTATTGTGAATAATGCTGCAATAAACATACGTGTGCCTGTGTCTTTATAGTAGAATGATTTATAAGCCTTTGGGTACATACCCAGTAATGGGATTGCTGGGTCAAATGGTATTTCTGGTTCTAGATCTTTGAGGAATCACCACACTGTCTTCCACAATGGCTAAACTAATTTACACTTCCCACCAAAAGTGTAAAAGTAGTCCTATTCCTTCATATCCTCTCCAGCATCTGTTGTTTCCTGACTTTTTAATGATTGCCACTGTAACTGGCATGAGATGGTATCTCACTGTGGTTTTGATTTGCATTTCTCTAATGACCAGTGATGATGAGCTTTTTTAAATAAGTTTGTTGGCTGCATAAATGTCTTCTTTTGAGAAGTGTCTGTTAATATCCTTTGGCCACTTTATGGGGGGGTTGTTTGTTTGTTTCCTGTAAATTTATTTAAGTTCCTTGTAGATTCTGGATATTAGCCCTTTGTCAGATGGATAGATTGCAAAATTTTCTCCCATTCTGTAGGTTGCCTTTTCGCTCTGATGATAGTTTCTTTTGCTGTGCAGAAGCTCTTTAGTTTAATTAGATCCCATTTGTCAATTTTGGCTTTTATTGCCATTATTTTTGGTGTTTTAGTCATGAAGTCTTTGCCCATGCCTATGTCCTGAATGGTATTGCCTAGGTTTTCTTCTAGGGTTTTTTATGGCTTTAGGTCTTATATTTAAGTTTTTAATCCATCTTGAGTTAATTTTTGTATAAAGTGTAAGGAAGAGGTCCAGTTTCAGCTTTCTGCATGTGGCTAGCCAGTTTTCCCAGCATCATTTACTTAACAGGGAATCCTTTTCCCATTGCTAGTTTTTGTCAAGTGTGTCAAAGATCAGATGGTTGTTGATGTGTGGCATTATGTCTGAGGCCTCTGTTCTGTTCCGTTGGTCTATATATCCGTTCTCGTACCAGTACCGTGCGGTTTTGGTAACTGTAGCCTTGTATTGTAATTTGAAGTCTGGTAGCATGATGCCTCCAGCTTTGTTCTTTTTGCTTAGGATTGTCTTGTCTATACTGGCTCTTTTTTGGTTCCATATGAAATTTAAAGTAATTTTTTTTTCTAATTCTGTGAAGAAAGTCAATTGTAACTTGATGGCGATAGCATCAAATCTATAAATTACTTTGGGCAGTATGGACATTTTTATGATATTCATTCTTTCTATCCATGAGCAAGGATGAACATCAATGCAGAAATCCTCAATAAAATACTGGCAAACTGAATCTAGCAGCATATCAAAAAGCTTATCCACCAAGATCAAATCAGCTTCATCCCTGGAAGGCTGGTTCAACATATGCAAATCAATAAACATAATTCATCACATAAACAGAACCAATGACAAGAACGACATGATAATCTCAATAGATGCAGAAAAGGCCTTCAATAAAATTCCACACCCATTCATGCTAAAAACTCTCTATAAACCAGGTATTGGTGGAACATATCTCAAAATAATAAGAGCTATTTATGACAAACCCACAGCCAATATCATACTGAATGAGAAATAGCTGGAAGCATTCCCTTTGAAAACTGGTACAAGACAAGGATGCCGTCTCTCACCACTCTCCTATTCAACGTAATATTGGAAGTTCTGGCCATGGCATTCAGGCAAGAGAAAGAAATAAATCGTATTCAGACAGGAAGAGAGGAAGTCAAATTATCTGTCTTTGCAGATGACATGATTGTATATTTAGAAAACCCCATCATCTCAGGCCAAACTCTCCTTAAGCTAATAAGCAACTTCAGCAAAGTCTCAGGATACAAAATCAAGGTGCAAAAATCACAAGCATTCCTATACACCAATAATAGAGAGCCAAATCATGAAGGAACTCACATTCACAATTGCTACAAAGAGAATAAAATACCTAGGAATACAACTTACAAGGGATGTGAAGGACCTCTTCAAGGAGAACTACAAACCACTGCTCAAGGAAATAAGAGAAGACACAAACAAATGGAAAACTATAATGTTTTAAATATGACTCTGGTTTATTTATCTCACACATAGCAAAAAGTCCAGATGTAAGCGATCTAAGGCCACTTTATAATTCCCATGAAGCCAATGTGAATGTAGGCTCTTTTTGACTCTGGATTTCATTCCCAAGAAAAAGCAAAAAAAAAAAAAAAAAAACTACGCCACAGCTTTGGGAAACATTTGTGTTGAGACAAGAGAAAAGAGGAAAGAGAGGAGGGAGATAGCGACTCACTTTCCAGCTGAGCATCTCCCAGTGAGAATTTCCACATACCATTACCTCTTACACATTACCGATCAGAGTATAGTCATGTTCCCACATCAAAGAGGCTGAGAAATGTTGTGTTAGAGCTGGATGCGTTGTCGCTCTGAATAAAACGTTATATTGTTAAAAAATAAAAATAGATATGGACAGTTTTGTTTTGTTTTTCTCCGAATCCATCCCTTTGGTTTCCACAAAATTTATACCATATTTTTTCTATGCATGACACACACTCATTGGCTTTCTAAGAAAGATAAATATAATTGCCCTATCAAGTTCAGTATTTGACTCCATATTCAAGGTCAAGGATATCTGAGTGATGTTCAATTTTTTCAATCAAGTTCAAATCTGAGGACTGCTGATCTTGTAATTAAAAAGCCAAGTTATTTGTCACTAGTATACACAATAAGCTATATGTAATACATGCTGTGAAGATGTAATAGAATACTAGGGATAAAATATCCAACTTAGGAAAGGGGAAAAGAGAAAATATTCTAGGTAATATCTCTCATAGGTAATATTTCAGTCCCCTACTCTTGCAGTGAAACATGCTTCTTGCATAGCATTACTATCAAGGAATTTATTCTTTACTCATTATCTTTCATGACCATGAGGTGAGCAGAAAGAATACATCATTTTTAGAGTCTGCACAGCTTTAGTAATTGAGATCTTAAAGATTAAACTTGGGCATTCTAAGCATTCTTTTAATAATTTAATATATACAGATAGTTTCAGGTCAGGTTTTGGGGTTTTTGGTAGTGCTGTTTTAGCAAAAACTTATAAGGCTCCCAGTTTATTTTCTTCCAGATAATCTCACCATTTAGTACTCTCTACGTATAGTTTTTAAGCCTGAAGACAATAATACTTTACTTATAGGCCTCTAAGCTGCATCTACGTCCCTTTTCCTCAACTTAGTGGCTACTAGGCTGAAACTTTATTAAATAATGAACTTGTGTGTGTGGAACCAAACCAGCTAAATTATCTTTTCCAATAGACTCATTGCCTTTGCCAACAGGCTCATCGCATTTGTGTTGCAGGTACTAGTTTGACTTTCTACTTAGGTTGCAGCTCCCAGGCCTTCTCACTTTACATATAGAACTTTTTTTTTTTTTTTTTTTTTTTTTACCTTTTGTAGTTTCTAACTGGGAGCGTAGTAAATTTCTCCATTCACTAAACTGTATTTCCTTCCATCTCTGCTTTTAGATTAGTTCAATTGGTTTACTGTCTCTTGCTGGATTTTGTTGAATCTGACAACATGGAGCCAAATTATACCAAGATTTAGACTTCATTATTTCTAGCATTGCTATAGCATTGGTTGGCACTTTGTTTGACTGGTCAACATACAGAACGTGACAGCTGCAACAAATATGTTCACTAGGAAACTCAGTTTATCAGCTTTACAAAATGAAGTAGCTAAGTTCATATGAAAATTCTCTACCCTTTTAATTAGGCCATGGCTATTTTGTAGAAGCTGGTACAATACTCCACTTCTTAAACCAATTAAAATACTAGCTGGTATTTTCAGACAACACAGTGGAATCCATTGTACCAATTTTAAACAGAATAAGGAAAACTCTCTTTTCATCTATATCTATCTAGATATTACCCATATCTAGCTAACTAGCTATCATAAATTTTAGGAACTGAAGATATTCTAGCCTGTTCTTTGCTCTGAGAAGAATTAAAACCAAACTACTAAACTGACCCACCAGTTGGATAGAAAGAATAAGACTTAGTGTTCAGTAGCACAATAGAGTGACAATAGTTAGGAATCATTTATTGTATGTTTTAAAATAACTAAAAAATAGAAATTGGAATGTTTCTAACACAAAGGAATGATAAATGTTATAGGTGATGGATATCTTTATTACCATGATTAAATAATTACACATAATATGCTTGTATCAAAATATCACATGTACCCAATACATATAGATAAGTATTACATATTCAAAATTTTTTTAAAAGAAACTAAAAATTATGTTTTGCGATTTGCATTTTTTCATTTTTAATAAAGTTTTAAATTGTAAGTGAAATGTTTGGAGCTTAACATTCCAAATATGTGGAACATTTACAATTCAGAGGTGAGGGAGGTCAGATAGACGGAAGGATAGAAATATAGATATATTGATGTCCATACACATTTATAAACACAAATTTATAAACATAAATATATATGTGTGTGTGTGTGTGTGTGTGTGTGTGTGTATGCCTAAATACAAACATATACACACACTGTGGGAACGACATATATACAAATTGTAGGAAACTATAAAATATGAAATTATGACTGTTGGACAGCTGTGAATGAAAACTCTGCTATAGTGGTGGTATAGATATACTATAATATACACATTGAAAGATAATGAGACTTAACTGGCACTGATTTATTCACCAATGGATAGAAGAATGTTCAGCAGAAAATATACTCCAAATAAATATTAGCTGAATGAATACATGCGGTAATGAGCAAGTAAATATTTTACTCATATGTTCATATACGCTCTTAACGTCTCTTCTTGTGGATCCTCTTGCCAAGTGTAATGACTTGACGAGATTTTATTTCATTTTATTTTATGTTTTTATTTATAATTATTATAGACACATAATAGTACATATTAATGGTATATGTGTGATATTTTATACAAGCATATGTTGTGTAATGATCAATTCAGGGTAATTGGGGTATCCATCACCTCAAATTTTTTTTTCTTTGTATTAGGAATATTCCAATTTCAATCTTTCAATTGTTTTGACATATGCAATAATTTAATGTTAATGATTGTCACCCTATTGTGCTACCAAACACTAGATCTTGTTATTTCTAACTGTATTTTTGTACCCATTAACCATCCCCTCATTATTCCCCTCTCCTCATTACCCTTCCTATCCTCTGAGAACTATCATTCTACTCTCTATCTTTAAGTGTTAAATTGTATTTTTTTACCTACTATACATGAGTGAAAACATGCAATGTCCTCCAGTTCTATCTATGTTTTTGCAAATGACAGAATTTTATTATCTTATGGCCGAATAATATTCCATTGTGTATATGTACCACATGACCACTAAAGAGAACAGTATGGAAGTTCTCAAAAAAACTAAAAATAGAACTACTTATGACCCAGCAATCCTACTGCTGGGTATATATTCAAGAGAGAGAAAACCAATGTATCAAAGAAGACATCTGCATTCCCATGATTATTTCTACATTATTCACAATAGACAAGATATGGAATCAACCTTTTCATCAATCAACAGATAAATGGATGAATGACTTGGGATTTTAATTGAGTTTTGTTTATGAAGAGATTGTATAACTTATAATGGATATAAAAGCAATAGATGCTTGATGGCAGATGAAAAGACTGAGAAGACATGAATGAAAAGCTGTTACTAAAATGGTTGTCCAAATCCACTAGAATATGCACACTGCAGGGTAAATAAACTTACCTAACTTGTACACTGATTTATTACTATGGCTACTTTAGGACATGAAGCATTTTATATGACAGCTTAGGACCATGAATTAAAATTTGCATCATATCTAGACATAGTTTGTAAGTCAAAAGACACAAATGTTTTAATTATTGAGATAATTGTTATCAAATTAAGTACACTAGCAAAATAAGGTAAGCCTACTGTAAATAATATTAATGATCATTTGTATAAAGAGTAGATAATGAACTAAAAATATTAAATAATATTTTACTTTATATGTATGAAGAGATCTTGAATGATTCCTTCATAATAATTATTTTTAGTTATTTCTTTTTTTTTAATATTTAAGTATCTTTATTTTTTTTTATTATACTTTAAGTTTTAGGGTACATGTGCATATTGTGCAGGTTAGTTACATATGTATACATGTACCATGCTGGTGCGCTGCACCCACTAACTCGTCATCTAGCATTAGGTATATCTCCCAATGCTATCCCTCCCCCCTCCCCTCACCCCACCACAGTCCCCAGAGTGTGATATTCCCCTTCCTTTGTCCATGTGATCTCATTGTTCAATTCCCACCTATGAGTGAGAATATGCAGTGTTTGGTTTTTTGTTCTTGCGATAGTTTACTGAGAATGATGACTTCCAATTTCATCCATGTCCCTACAAAGGACATGAACTCATTTTTTTGGCTGCATAGTATTCCATGGTGTATATGTGCCACATTTTCTTAATCCAGTCTATCATTGTTGGACATTTGGGTTGGTTCCAAGTCTTTGCTATTGTGAATAATGCCACAATAAACATACGTGTGCATGTGTCTTTATAGCAACATGATTTATAGTCCTTTGGGTATATACACAGTAATGGGATGGCTGGGTCAAATGGTATTTCTAGTTCTAGATCCCTGAGGAATCGCCACACTGACTTCCACAATAGGTTGAACTAGTTTACAGTCCCACCAACAGTGTAAAAGTGTTCCTATTTCTCCACATCCTCTCCAGCACCTGTTGTTTCCTGACTTTTTAATGATTACCATTCTAACTCGTGTGAGATGGTATCTCATTGTGGTTTTGATTTGCATTTCTCTGATGGCCAGTGATGATGAGCATTTTTTCTTGTGTTTTTTGGCTGCATAAATGTCTTCTTTTGAGAAGTGTCTGTTCATGTCCTTTGCCCACTTTCTGATGGGGTTGTTTGTTTTTTTCTTGTAAATTTGTTTGAGTTCATTGTAGATTCTGGATATTAGCCCTTTGCCAGATGAGTTGGTTGTGAAAATTTTCTCCCATTTTGTAGGTTGCCTGTTCACTCTGATGGTAGTTTCTTTTGCTGTGGAGAAGCTCTTTAGTTTAATTAGATCCCATTTGTCAATTTTGTCTTTTGTTGCCATTGCTTTTGGTGTTTTGGACATGAAGTCCTTGCCCATGCCTATGTCCTGAATGGTAACGCCTAGGTTTTCTTCTAGGGTTTTTATGGTTTTAGGTCTAACGTTTAAGTCTTTAATCCATCTTGAATTGAACTGGCTAGCCATATGTAGAAAGCTGAAACTGGATCCCTTCCTTACACCTTATAGTTATTTCTTTCTCCAAAAGTAAAACAGAAGATATTTGATTGAGAAATGACTTTAGATGTAAAAAATCACTTCAGAAGGCATTTGTTTGTGAATGATTTAAAATGTAATAAAACAAGCGCATTGTCAAGATTGTAAAATATAGAGTAATGCAGTTTAATCTGCTCTGTGTCTGTATCTAGTTATTAAATATCCTACTCATATGGTTTGTCTGTGTCCCCACCCAAATCTCTACTTGAATTGTAGCTCCCAAAATTCTCATGTGTTGTGGGAGGAACCCGGTAGGAGATAATTGAATCATGGGGACAGTTTCCCCATACTGTTCTAGTGGTAGTGAATAAGTCTCATGAAATCTGATGGTTTTATAAGGGGTTTCCCCTTTCACTTGGCTCTCACTCTCTTGCCTGCTGCCATTTAAGATGTGACTTGGATCCTCCTTTGCCTTCTGCCATGATTGTAAGGCCTCCCCAGCCACATGGAACTGTGAGTCCATTAAACCTCTTTTTCTTTATAAATTACTCAGTCTTGGCTATGTCTTTATTAGTAGTGTAAGAATGAACTAATACAGTAAATTGGTACTGGTAGAGTGGGGTGCTACTGTAAAGATACACAAAAATGTGGAAGCAACTTTGGAACTAGGTAACAGGCAAGTGTTGGAAAAGTTTGGAAGGCTCAGAAGAAAACAGGAAAATGTGGGAAAGTTAGGAACTTTCTAAGACTTGTTGAATAGTTTTAACCAAAAAATACTGATAATGATATGGGCAAGGAAATCCCGGCTAAGGTGGCCTCAAAAGGAGGTGAGGAACATGGGACCTAGAGTAAAGGTGACTCTTGCTATATTTTAGCAAATAGACTGGCAACATTTTGCTCTTGCCCTAGAGATTTATGAAACTTGGAACTTGAGGGAGATGATTTAGGGTGTCTGGTAGAAAAAAATTTCTAAGCAGTTGGGTAAAGCATTCAAGAGCTGAATTGGGTGTCATTAAAAGCATTTAGTTTTAAAAGGGAAACAGAGCATAACAGTTCATAAATTTGCAGCCTGACAATGCAATGGAAAAGAAAAACCTATTTTCTGAGGAGAAATTCAAGCTGCAGGAATTTGCATAAGTAACAAGGAGCCAAATTCGAATCCCCAAGACAATGGCAAAAATGTCTCCAGGGCATGACAGAGATCTCTGTGGCAGCCCCTCCCATCACATGCCCTGAGGCCTCGGAGGAAAAAATGGTTTTGTGGGCTGGGCCCAGGGCCCCCCTGCAGTGTACAGCATAGGGACTTGGTGTCATTCATTCCAGCTACTCTAGCCATGGCTAAAAGGAGTCAAGGTACAGCTTGGGCTCTAGCTTTAAAAGGTGCAAGCCCCAAGCATTGGCACTTTCCACATAAGGTTGAACCTGTGGGTGCACAGAAGTCAAGAAATGAAGTTTGGGAACCTCCACCTAGATTTCAGAGGATGTATGGAAATGCCTGGATGTCCAGGCAGAACTTTGCTGCAGGGGTGGAGCCCACATGGAGAACCTCTGTTTGGGTGGTGCAGAAGAAAAATGTGGGGCTGAAGCTTTCACACAGAGTCCCCACTGGGACACTGCCTAGTGGAGCTGTGAGAAGAGGGCCACCGTCCTCCAGACCCCAGAATGGTAGAATCACCAACAGCATGCACATGTGTCTGGAAAAGCTACAGACACTCAACACCAGCCAGTGAAAGCAGTTGGGAGGGAGGCTGTACCCTGTAAAGCCACAGGAACTGAGCTGCCCAAGACAATGGGAACCCATCCCTTGCATCAATATGACCTGAATGTGAGACATAGAGTCAAAAGAGATCATTATGGAACTGTAAGATTTGACTGCCCTGCTGGATTTTGGACTTGCATGGGGCCTTTAGCCCCTTCATTTTGGTCAATTTCTCTCATTTGGAATGGGTGTATTTATCCAATCCCTATACCCCCATTATATCTAGGAAGTAACTAACTTGCTTTTGATGCTACAGGCTCATAGGCAGAAGGGACTTGTCTCAGATAAGACTTTGGACTGTGGACTTTTGAGTTAATGCTGAAATGAGTTAAGCCTTTGGGGGACTGTTGGGAAGGCATGATTGATTTTGAAATGTGAAGACATGAGATTTGGGAGGGGCTGGGTTGGAATGGCATAGTTTGGCTGTGTCGCTACCCAAATCTCACCTTGAATTACAGCTCCCATAATTCCCATGTGTTGTGAAAGAAGCTCAGTGAGAGATAATTGAATCATGGGAGCAGTTTCCCCATATTGTTCATGTGGTAGTGAATAAGTCTCATGAGATCTGATGGTTTTATAAAGAGTTTCCCCTTTTGCTTGGCTCTCATTCTTTCTTGCCTGCTGCCATGTAAGACATGACTTTGCTCCTCCTTTGTTTTCTGTTATGATTGTGAGGCCTCCCCAGCCATGTGGAACTGTGAGTCCATTAAGCCTCTTTTCCTTTATAAATTACCCAGTCTCTAATAAGTCTTTATTAGCAGTGTGATTACAGACTAATACACCTGCCTTCTTTTTTCCTACTATATATTGTATTAATGTGAAAAAAAACTCTTTAAATTTAAGAGTCAACCATTCAAATATAATGAATAATCCATACTTTTAATTTATAAATTGTATGCTTATTCAATTGCAAGAGGAAAAGTAAATATATCAATTGTGCATTATTTCCCTGGGGCATTTAAAATGATCAAAAAGTAAATTTATGTTCAATAGGATAGAAATCACAGCACAGCATCCATTGAAAATAATGATAATTGTTCACCTGCTTACCATTGATCACATGGAAACTTTTCCCCATTATGGTCATGAACTATATAAGACTTATCATTGATGTGAAACTCTTGTAATAGGCTGCTTTTCTGGGTTTAGTGTCTGAAATAAATGAACAAAGATATTATAAAATGATTTAATACCTAAATATTCATAGAATTCTTTAATAACACTTTATAAATATAGGAAAGGAAAAAACACAAATTTTGAATCAAAGAGCAATGCAGAAAAAGAAGAAATAAATTGTTAAACAAGTTAAAAGAAATAAAAAATTGCTAAGAAAAATAAAACTGATCATTTATTTTATGATTTGTTTAGTTGGAGCTTTCCAACTTAATTTTTTTTTCTATCCAAAGAAACAATGGAATATCAAGAAAAAAAGTACTGCAAGGAAAAACATGCACATACATAAATCAGGGTAATTTAAAAATTTTATTTAGACTATAACATAAAGACAATTGCAATTGTTTATTGATTTAACCTTCAAATTTGTCTGACTCAAAAAAAAATTTATATTTACTTCTCTGGTATAATCTAATATTAAGTTTATTAAAGCCAGGATTTTAATTAGTTTGCCATGTTGTAGAGATGAGTTAAAATTTAAAGCAAGCAGAGCCCATTTTCTCCTCAAATGTTTCTTAAATTTCCTTGTTTCCTTATAACTTTTCTTCAGAAATAGAAGCTAATATGTCTGCAGCAAAAGTATCTAAATTTTACTTCACATCATACATATTATGGTTTCAAAAATGCAAAAAAAGTAGAATTTGTTCCAGTTTTCATAGACTTCCTGCTATGTTCTTAAACTTAGTATGATATAATTATATTAAAAATCTGGGTTGAGAAATCATCAATTTGAAAGCTGACATAATTCAAATATACATGACTTATAGGGCATTCTTTTTAATCAAGATTTCAGAGATTAGTTGGGTGTTTTGAGGTTTCTCACTATTACCCTCTCTGCCTTTCTTTTTAGTTTATAAGCATTTATTCATGCATTTAATTTTAATGCTTTTTAAGTTATAGAAAAAAGTCATTTTCTGACCCTAAGATTTTCTACTATATATACATATGTGCACATATATGTATATGTGTATATACATATATATACACAAAATATATATGTACATATATACATATGTGCACATATATGTATATGTGTATATACATATATATATACACAAAATATATATGTACATATATACATATGTGCACATATATGTATATGTGTATATACATATATATACACAAAATATATGTACATATACACATATATACACAAAATATATATGTACATATATACATATATCTACAAATATGTATGTGAACACACGTGTATATTTATATGCATATATACACATATGTATATGGAATAGAATGTAATATATGTACATTATATATCGTGTATATATTACATATTATAAATTATATGTAATATATCTAATATACATGTATATATTATGTACATTTATAAATGTTCATTAATTTTGAGAAGCAAAATTGTGATTTATCTAAACATCTTTTTCATAACCTATTCATTTCAACTTTATTAATATAAATTTTGATAGACTTGCCTTGAAATCTTAGTATCTTGGACTGATTTGAAGGTAGTGAGTTATCGCAATTGATTACTCAGTCTGTTACAGGTCAAACTTTTTGTTCTATCCTTTCCCCTTCTCACTACTGCTCATGACTAGTCTTCTTTAAAAAATAATAACCTTAGTTTCTTGGGCACAGGACTACTGCATCCATCATCCTTCATAAGAGACCATAAAAAATCAGAAACCACAGTAAGTCAACATAAAGGATTCATTTCAGGATGCCTCATGTCATCATTTATAGAGGAATTCACTTTTGATTTAAATAATCCTATCTTTAATATTATATAGTTTTGTTATTGTTATTTTCATGGCTGATACTGAGTGAATCAGTATTCAGAATCCCTCAGAATTTTTGTCTTCTTAAGTTTCTAAATGTGTAGGGTCATTTGAATATCTCTTTGCAATTCCACTGACATTAACTAAGTCAAGAGGCTTGTCTTGTCATGCCTATTATAGTAAGACTATTAATAGACCCTGTGGTCTGCATGTTCTTGTCTTTCCACTCATCTTTTCCATCATAATCAATAATGAAGTCTTAAAGTACAGTGTACATCACTAGCCATGTTTCGGTGAAAAAGTTCTTTGTAAATATATGATATTACCTAAATTTATGTAAACATATCACAATTGGGCCTTCCAATATACCTTCCAAACCCCTTTTCTACTATATTTCCCATGTACCTCACATTCCAAATTTTTCATCTTTTAGACAACTGCTAAATTCCTAAATTTTGAAGAAATAGCATTGTGAGGTTATTCTGCTGTTATTTTGTTTTGTTTTATCATGGTAAAAACACTTACTGTGAGTACTACACTATCAACAAATTTTTATGTATACAATAGAGTATTGTTAACTATTTGTGCAATGTCATAAAGTAGGTCTCTAAAACTTAATCATCTTGCATAACTGAAACTTCATACCTATTGAACTATGTTTTATTGACTGACACACCCAGTGCACCTATTAGGATGCAATGTGCAGTAGTATAGGCAATAAATAATGGTTCATTCAATAATAATAAATACTTTCTACATTTCCATTCAGTCTCACTGAGTATCTTATTGTAGTCCATGTTACAGTACAACTCAAATGTTTGACTTAAAAAGACTTAAAGAATTTGAAAGAAATTTCTTGGTGGGGAATGCTAAGAAAAACATAACTCTTTTGGTTTTAATAAAAAATATTATTCCATATTACATTGAATGAGAGGATTTTGTCTGTTTTAAGGTATTTCATTTTTTAAGCTGATAACGTTTTAAATAAAAAACACTGTGTTCTTTTAATAATGATTTTGCTTAAACCCACCAACAAAAAGGTGTAAGGTAATGAGAAAAGATCACTCTTTTTGGAAATGTGATAAAATATTTCTAAAAGAACTTAGTACTTAAAAAGATTAATGTTACTTCCTTGAGTTAAAGCTTTTCTGTGCTTATGACCGGTGGCGGTGGCTCATGCCTGTAATCTCAGCACTTTGGGAGGCCGAGGCGGGTAGATCACCTGAGGTCAGGAATTCAAAAACACCCTGGCCAACATTGTGAAACCCTGTCTCTACTAAAAGTACAAAAATTAGCCTAGTGTGGTGGCGGGCAAGTATAATCCTAGCTACTGGGGAGGATGAGGCAAGAGAATCACTTGAACCCAGGAGGCAGAGGTTTCAGTGAGCCAAGATCGCACCACTGCACTCCAGCCTGGGTGACAGAGACAGAGCCTCCATCTAAAAAAATAAAAATAAAAATAAAAATAAAAATAAATAAGCTTTTCTGTGCTTATGGAAGACAGAACTTTGTTTTGTGGCATGCAAACCATTACATATTACAATCTATCACCACTTTCAAGGAGGAAATACATTACTTCGTAGTATCATCACTTAAACTTTGGTTTAATAAAAGTATGTGGTCCTTCAAAAACAGATTATCCTTTCAGAAATTAACACTTTTTAAAAAGTCATTGCTTTCTTCTGAACGTTTACTTTTCTTTAGCTTATCTTTTATATAAGGTAAATAAATTGAGATAGTAGGTATAATCAATGTATTGATGTCTTATCCTACTTTTTGTGATTGTTTTTTAATTAAAGATTTTCACTTCCTATGTACTCTTAAGAGACACTAACAACTTTAAGATAAAATAGAATCAACAAAGAATCAATATTAACTCGATCAGTTTAATTGTTCTTAGTTTATTACCTGATACAATATAGTCATCATTGTAGAAGAAATGATACCCTGGTTTAAAATGTGATAACCTAAATTGTATCATTAGCCCCATGTATATTTCTCTGAAATGTAGCACAGGTACGTATTAGTCC
This sequence comes from Homo sapiens, assembly GCF_000001405.40. Taxonomy (NCBI): domain Eukaryota; kingdom Metazoa; phylum Chordata; class Mammalia; order Primates; family Hominidae; genus Homo; species Homo sapiens. Next base: position 99,867 of record NW_009646200.1, read on the forward strand.
TTAAATATATGATGAACACGTTTTCAAAATTAGGAGACAGAGGAGATGAGAAGATATTATAAATGAGACAAATGTGTTTTATATAAGCCTAGAAAACCATGTCACATTAAAATTAGTCACATTCTCTCCTAGCTTACTATCAAGGCACTTCATGTTTTATTAAATAATTTCATTGCCTATACAACATATTTTTGTCTTAAAAGCATTCACTTTAAAGTTATTAGCTTGATGCAAAAGTAATTGCAGTTTTCACCATTAGAAGTAATGGCTCTTTAAATTGTTGCCATGTTATAATACTTAATATAAGCAAACAAAGCAAATTATAACAAAAAATATAAACAATTTCATTTATATACATTTAGTAAATTGAAGAACTATATAAATTTATGTATTTATTATTACAAATTAAATTTATAAATATTAAGTCTCATATTTTGATTTTTTTATTAAAAAGTATTCTTTTAAACTTAATTAAACATCTATTTTCATGCTTTATTTAATTCTAGGAGGAATAACAGAGACCTGGTTTTCTATTTTTGTCTCTGAAAGGAATTCTTTATTACTTTCCTCCAACATCAGCTATACCTGTCTGAGATAATAAAGTTTATTATTAAAATAAATAGTGTTCTTCCTGAGATCACTTGCTTTCTAAAATTTTTTTCTCTGCTGCCTTTATCTTGAGGAAAAAAATGTTTTCATTCTAAATCCCAATAGATCTTTCTCTTGCATAAACATCTACATCAATGCCTCAGTGATTCCCCTGGTGCCCTGATAATAGTACTCAGTTTCGGGGCAGGCATCAAAATGAGGAGAGAACTACTTTTGCAGTATTTGATACCATTTTCCTTACACTCAGCTACAATAAATAGCCTCTCAGATTTTTTTGAGATTTTTACATTGAATAAGTTTACACAAAGACTATCTTACATGTTTTTGGATCCTAACACCTTTCCATTCATTTGAATTGTTTTGATGTTTAAAAATCATGATGACCAGTATTGTCCAATAGCATAAATACAAGTGACATCTGGCCACTTAATTTAAACTTAAATTAAACAATATTAACTAAAGATTAATAATTGCTTCCTTGATCATACCAGGCACATTTGAGATGCCCAGTAGCTACATGTGGCTAATATAGCTACATGCATTAATAAACAACACAGATACAGAATTTACTTCACTGCAGACAGTTCTACTGAGCAGCACTGATACCAGTTAAGTGTGAATATGGAGTGCAAATCCTCCCTTTGGCATCTCACTACAGTTATGTAACTCAGATTTAATTTTCAATAACATAATTTTTTTAGTACTCTCATAATGGGAAAAACAAAAGTGATGGTAATGATAGCAAAAAAAACTCCAAATGCAAGGAGAATCACGTATTTAATTGACTTCTTTCTCACTAGTTTTATGTGTGTGTTCTTCCTGCAAATTTGAGAATGTTCTACCAGTCTCCCAGCTTTATCAACCAAAGTTGTTATGACTGGCCTTTGCACACCAGTCACAGGACTCAATCTCCATTCCATGATTTTTAAATGTAAGTTCAGTTCCTATTTGTCTTCAACTTGCCTCTGTATGAAATCCTCATCCACTGGACTGACTATCCCAATCTCAATGCCTAAGGTAAAACATTGAAAAATTTCACAAGGAAGTCATGTTAAAGGAATGAGATGAATTGAGGTATCTTTGGAAATTATGTGTGGTTCTAATTCTTTTTTATCTCCTCCATATGGTAATGTGTGAGTTTGAAGCAGTTTTTGTATTGCTCAATGTCAGGCTGTCAGCTGTAACTTCTCAATGCCATCAGAATGTATTTAACAGCTGCCCCTCCCTACCTCCTCCAACTACTGGTTTGTGATTTCTAATCTGCAATAAGATAGAAAACAGATAAACCAGCTTTTTAAGATTTAGAGTCCAACAGAGCTCAGAGAGAGGGCTTGAGGGTCTCTTAATTTCAGAGATTCTGTGGTTCTGTTTAAGTTGCTCTGAGGCTGTGTACATTTGCACGTGTTCTATTATCTTTCAGAGTGTTTAAGGTGATGGGTATCTGACCTGGAGTCCAACTGGTACTTTACATGATATCCAAGTAAGAGCCTTAGAAAATAAAGTATGCTTAAATTCAGCAAGTTTGTTAGATCTTGTTCTTTAAAAAAATTACTCCAAAATCCCAGATGCTCTCAGTTATCAACAGAAGCTTAGAAGGATTATTAGTAATACTCCTTTATCATATGTGACTTCACTTTCAATTCCATATTCCCTTTAGGTTTGCAATGAAACCTCACGACAAATGCAAAACTGGCATTTACAGATGTATGAACACTCAACTTCAAATAGACTCCATTGTCCAAAGTCAAACACTTAACTAAAGAATGAAACTTTAATTCCAAACCAGATTTTTGGTAGATTAGGACTTGTATAGTTTTACAGTCTCAATTTGTTCCAGGATAAAACCCTAGGAGAATCAGAGTGATTTTATCATGAAGCCACATTTTATAGGACTGAATAGTCTAGATAAATGAAGTTTGTTCCATCGGGTGCTGATGATTCATTTTCACTTTTTTTTGTTTGTTTTGATAGAAATTCTTCCAAAAAGCACAGAGTACATTTTACTTCCTTCCCTAACAGAGGACACAGCACATAATGTAGTCGTTTTCTTCATGACTCATCACCATCATTATGTACCTCCATTCTTGTTCTGTGCTAAAACCACAGCACATTCTGCATATGCTTGGGAGTTTCTGTATCCCTCAATGTCAGACTGCCAGCTCCAACTTCTCAATGCTGTCAGAATACCTCTAACCACCCCCATTCACTACCTCCTCCCACATCTAGTTTGTTGCTTTTAATCTAACTGCAACTTCTAATCTACAGTAAACTAGAAAAATAGATAACCTATCTTTTTAAGATTTGCATTCCAAATAAAGCTCAAAATGGGATCCAGATGGCCTGCCTTAATTTCAGGGGTTCTGTAGCTACATTGATGTTGTTCAAATATTTTAATATGTTTCACTGTCTTCTAGAAAATTTAGAATGATGGGAATCTGACATGAATTAAAATACAGGTGATTTTAAATGTCTCATGCAATGTGTCTGCAGGTACACCACACAAAGATTTGTAAAAATATTTTAAATTCATTTTGTTGTGGTTATTATATTGAATATTATAAGGTAAAGCATTTTACATTTAGTTTACCAGTAAACCAGTTAAAGCAACATGATTTAATTAACCTCATCTTCTGAAATTTAAAATGAATAAAATACCTCTTAGGAGTAATATACTTGTTCTGTAATTTAAATTATATTTTAGTTGAATAAATCCTCTCACATGAATTTGCTCTTCAAAGTAAATGTGCTTTCAGATGACCTATGGATTAAGTCCTTTGGGAACATTTCACACCAAATTGTCTTTCCCATAGTTTGGCAAAAATTTGAAATGTTAAAAAACACTTAACTAAAGAATGAAGCTTGAAGTTCATATTCTAAAATATAAGTTTTCTGCTTTTTTCACTTTTATTATACTACCTAATTAAAACTAACATTTACCTCGCTGTGAAAATTCACATGTTAATGAAGTGCTATATATTCCATTTTGAAGAGATAATCACTGCTAACAATATTATCATAATATCAGATTTTTATAAATAGAAATTTAAACAGAAATGCTTCTGACTACAATTATAATTTTCTATTTATCTTTATCTATTGCTTAAGAATAGGAGAAAAAATTCACATATGCTTATTTATTTATTTAAAAGGAATGACTTCTCATTTGAATTGAAGGAGCAAAATCTTTGAGCAGAACTGTGTCATTTTTCACATCAGAAGCTTAGGTAAATCTTTCTTTGTTTTGAACCATGATCTCTCTCTTCAAGCTGACAAAATGAAATTCATGTGCCTGGATTGAGAAGTTTACCCCAGAAAGTATTATCCAGGTATAAGACTTGATTGCCTAGCGTATGTTATACAATGTGAGCTAATGGCCGGCACCCTCATCGTAAGGAAGCAACTGGAGAATGGCCATAAGGGGGACACATATTGAAGGGCATTTTTACCTTGACCTCACGGCTGGCCTCCAAATTAATGTCTGTAATTCTCTCTATGCAGGCAAAATGACACATTAAAAACAAACACAATCTGCTAATTAGTAGGAAAAAGTAAAGAGGATAGAGAGGAAGAAGTGCCTAGCAAAGATTGTCCTCATTTCCTCTATCCTTTCACTAAGAGGTGACCATTTCACTAAGTAGTTTTGCATGTGAAGACCAAGACTTCATTTCCAGAAAAAAAATGTTTAGATTTATTACCATCATACATATGTGGTCATCGATCAATTTTGAAAGCATGTATAAACAGATCGTTTGAATCAAGCTCAAAGTAAGTATTTGGTATTATCTTAGTATTTAGGGAGGGGGACTTAATGGAATTTTTTTTCCATCACTCCTACATATAAGGGCTCAGATTTAGGAAATTACTTTTATGTACTACATGTGGTGGGGTCTTCCTCTTTCTAGGAGCACATAACTGCACGATTCTGAAAATATTAACATTAGACCATCAACTCAGGCTCAAATTTAAGAATACTCCTGGCTATAGCTGATAAGGAAGGAAGAATATGTTGGGCTTTCTTTTATCGTGTTGTTTAGTCACACAAAAAAGAAAAAAAAGACTCTTTAAAATAAATTTTATAACAACTTAACCCAAATACAATTCTATCATAAAAACTGGCTGAAATGCGTCACAAGAATATACTAAATAAAATCCAGCATTAAATAATAGTATACACATATGTTTTACAAGTGTTAATGAACTTAACAATCACTTATAAATTATTTTGGATTACATTGGTAAAACCTGTATCAGTGATTTTCTATTAAGATGTTCAATGCAACAATTTTTAAAATGACTTTCCAAAGGTTGATAGCAAGAGCATATAGTTAGAACCATAGAATACAATCAAAGTCTATTATTCTGGGTAATAAATTGCAAGCTTGGTTTGTATACATTTTTTCAATTGAACAGATTGTAAGAGATGAGAAGCAAAGATAGTATGCATGCTCAAAGTCTGGACTATGTTTAATATCTAGAATAAGAATAGCAAATACATAGAGAACTAGGATTTTTTAAGTCTCTTCCCTGTTTTCTTCCTACACATTGCTAAACTGTCATGGAATTCTATCATATAAACCTAAACAAAGCATTAAATCCTATTGTCTCAAGCTACACAGTGGAAAAAAAATTGCAAACCACTGATATGACAAATAACTTATGTTTTAAATATTTAAAGAGTTATGAAAATTCATAAGTTGAAACAATTAGAAAAAAAAGATATGACAGATTAATTAAACAATGTTTAATACCATTAGCCAGTAAAAGACAGAAAAACACAACCATAATGAGATATCACTAGTGATATGGTTTGACTCTGTGTCCCTACCCAAATCTCATATTGAATTGCAATTCCCAAAGTTGGGGGTGGGACCTAGTGGGAGTTGATTGGATCATGAGGGTGAATGTTCCCCATGCTGCTCTCAGGATAGTGAGTTGTCACAAGATTTGATGGTTTGAAAGTGTGTAGCACTTCCTCCTTTGCTCTCTCTCTCTCTCTCTCTCTCCTGCCACCATATGAAGACAGTGCTTGCTTCCCCTTTGCCTTCTACCATGATTATAAGTTTTTTGAGGTCTCCCCAGTCATACTTCTTTTACAGCCTCTAGAACCGTGAGCCAATTAAATCTTTTTTCCTTCACAAATTACCCGGTCTCAGATAGTTCTTTCTAGCGCTGTGAGAATAAACTAATACAGAAAATTGATACCAGAGAAGCTAGGCATTGCTATAAAGATACCTGAAAATGTGGAAGCAAATCTGGAACAAAATAACAGATGTTGTAACAGTTTGGAGGGCTCAAAAGAAGACAGGAGGATTAGGGAAGGTTTGAAACTTCCTAGAGACTTATTGAATGGTTTTCACCAAAATACTGATATCTGTATGAACAATGAAATTAGGCTGAGGTGGTCTTAGATGGAGATGAGGAACTTATTAGGAATTGGAGTAAAGGTTACTCTTGGCCAAGCTTTAGCAAAGAGACTGGCAGCATTAAGCCCCTGCTCCAGAGACCTGTGGAACATTGAACTTTAGAGAGATGATTTAGGGTATCTGGCAGAAGAAATTTTGTACAGCAAAGCATTCAAGATGTGACCTGCTGCTTCTAACAGTGTACAATCATATGCATGAACCAAGACATTATCTGAAACTGGAACTTATATTTAAAAGAAAAGCACAGCATAAAAGTTTGAAAAATTTGCAGCCTGTCTATGTGGTAGAAAAGAAAAGAAAACATTTTCTGGGAAGAAATTCAAGCTGGCTGCAGAAACTTACATAAGGACCCAAATGTTAATGACCAAGATACAGGGAAAATGATTCCAAGGTATTGTGGAGACCTTTGCAGTAGCCCCTCCCATCACAGGCATGGAGGCCTAGGAGGGAAAAATGATTTCATGGACCAGGCTCAGGGCCCCACTGCTCTGTGCAGCCTCAGGTCATGGTGCCCTACATCCCAGCTGGTCTAGCTCCAGCCATGGCTAAAAGGGGCCAAGGTACAGCTCAAGCCATTTCTTCAGATGGTGCAAGTCCCAAGTTTTGGTAGCTTTCATGTGGTTTGGGTCTGCAGGGGTGCCGAAAGCAAGACTTGAGGTTTGGGAGTCTATGCCTAGATTTCAGAGAGTGTATGGAAGTGCCTGGATATACAGGCAGAAGTCTGCTGCCCAGGTGCAGACCTCATGGAGAACTCTACTAGGGCCATGTGGAGGGAAAATGTGGGGTCGAAGCCCACACACAGAGTCCCCACTGCGGAACTACCTAGTGGAGCTGTGAGAAGAGGGCCATTGTTCTCCAGACTCAAGAATTGTAGATCCACTGACAACTTGTACCACATACCTATAAAAGTTGCAGGCACTCAATGCCAGCCTGTTAAAGCAATCATGGGGGCTGCACCACACAGATCCACCAAAGTAGAGCTTCCCAAGGCATTAGGAGCCTATCCCATGCATCAGTGTGCCCTGCATGTGAGACATGGAATCGAAGGAGGTAATTTGGGAGCTTTAAGATTTAATGACTGCGCTGTTGTATTTCAGACCTGCAAAGGGTATGTAGCTCTTTGTTTTGGCCAATTTATCCCATCTGGAATGGAGGCATTTACCTCCAATGTCTGTAACTCCATTGTATCTTGGAAGTAACTAACTTGTTTTTTATTTTACAGGCTCATAGGTGGAAGAGACTTGCCTTGTCTCAGATGAGACTTTGGGCTTGAATTTTCGGGTTAATGCTGAAATTAGTTAAGACATTAGGGGACTGTTGGGAAGGCAAATGCTGAAATTAGTTAAGACATTAGGGGACTGTTGGGAAGGCATTATTGTGTTTCAAAATGTGAGAGGGACATGATATTTGGGAGGGGCCAGGGGAAGAATGATATGGTTTGGCTCTTTGTCCCCACCCAAATCTCATGTTGAATGGTAATTCCCAATAAGAGGTAATTGGATCATGAGGGCAGATTTTCCTCATGCTGTTCCCATGATACCGAATGAATTCTCATGAGATCTGATAGTTTGAAAGTGTATAGCACTTACACGTTCTCCCTCTCTCTCTCTCACTCTGTCTCTCTCGTTGTCATGTGAAGACAGTGCTTGCTTCCCCTTTTCCTTCTGCCATAATTGGAAGTTTTCTGAAGCCTCCCAAGCCATGCTTTCTGTACATCCAGCAGAACTGTGAGTCAATTAAACCTTTTTTCTTCATAAATTACCCAGTCTCAGGTAGTTCTTTAAAGCAGTGTGAGAAGGAACGAATACAACTAGTCATCTATAAGAATACCAAAAGTTTTAAAAAATAGTAATATCACTTAGGAAATGATGTCAAAATTGCAAAGAAACAACTACTAATATACTTTGGTTAAGAATGTAAAATAATACAGCCTCTGGGAAAGAGTATGGAAGTTTCTTACACAAGTAACAGTGTGGATTTCATACAATACAGTGATTGTATATTTAGCCCAGAGAAATGAAATGTATGATCATAAAAAAAAGTAACAGAATGTTTACAGCAGCTTCATTTATACTATCCAAAAACTGAAGACAACCCAAACCTACCATATTAAAATAATTTTTAAAAATTGTGGCACATTTATACCAAGCAATATGACTCAAAAATAAAAAGGAATGTATCATTGAGGGACATAAAAACATAAATGGATCTCAAGGAAATGATACCTGAAAAAAGTCAACCTCAGAAGGCTACATTTATATAATATTCTTGAAATGAAAAAATTATAGAGATGGAGAAGAGATGAGTGGTTACCAGGGTTAGGAAATTAGGAGGTGGCCATGGTTACAAAAGGGTAGCATAAGAGATTATTGTAAGAGAACTGTCTTGTATTTTGACTGTGATGGCAGTGACACAAATCTACACGTGATAAAATTGCACAGAACTAAATACCCACACATACACACACAAGTGCAAATTAAACTGGTGAAGTCTGAATATGTTTGGTGAATTATATCAATGCCAATTTCCTGGTTGTGATATTGTACTATTTGGTTCCAAAAAATGTTACTGTTGGGGAAAATTGCGTAAAGGGCATTTTGCATTTTTCTGTATTGTTTCTTACAACTGCATGTGAATCTACAATTATCTCGAAATTGAAAGTAATAAAAAATTAAATAAATAAGGTTTTGTGACCCAGAATTATAGGTTATTTCAACCAATTAACCAGAGTTAGTGCTAAAGATAAAACTACAATCTAGTGGCGGGGACAAATCAAAGAGAGGCAGATAAATTTTTAGTCCATGTGCATAATGCTAACGGTTTAAGAGTTTGCATTTTTTTACTTTGATACTGAGGAAAGTACCTTTAAAAATTGGTGAGAAACTTTCCTTACCAATTAGGTATCAGTAAGTGAAACAGCTAAGCCTTTCAATACATACATTTTTCGATTATTAAGTGTATAAAATGGAAACAACAATACCTACAGCATGGTGTTGTCATGGGTATCATAGAAAATATATAATATAAAACATATAAACAAAGACACCCATATTAAAAAAATTAATAAAGTTTTTATTTTCATTATTTATATCACAGCCACAAGGCATAAAGGAGATCTAATGATTGGATGTATGAATTAGGCACTAATACACCCAGTTACAAAGAGGACACAAAGCAAAGTAGGTAAAAGAAGAAACCCAGTAACTAGAGTATAGGGCAAGGGAAGCACAGCATTAAAGAGAATAAATTTTGAATCCAGGAAAAAAGAAATCCAATATAATGACAGCAATACCAAAACCAGATCATCAAGATTGGCCTGTTAAAACACCGAGATATATATTTGTTGGTTTTATCTTTCTCTATCTATGACAAAAACAGATTTCCAAGTGTTGGTCAAGCCTGAACATAGATTGATATTAAAGTTTCTAACATAGAACATCAGAGAAAACACAGTTTAAAGGAGGTAATAAATTGTCATAGATTTCTTTGTGCAAAAACAGGTATGGTAAAATGTTAGTATAACTTTGATGTCAAAGAATAAAAGTAACATCCAATATAAGCTTTCCATGTATAATGAGAATGCAATATGATATGGATTATAAATGAAGGTAACTATATTTATAACAGAAATTTATTGATGTTTATCATTTTATATATGCCTTCATTAAGGATGTGTTTGCTATAATTTTTAGATATATATTTTTAAATTATAAATGTATTGGAATTTATATGAAGATACTGAATTGTCTTCCATTGTTTCTCAAGTTACAACAAGAATGAAATTGGTTAAGGAAATATAAAGACATATGCACTGGAATTTACATGTCTGGAACTTCAACTTCCCTTCGTTCTTACCAGACTTTTAATAAGACCAAAGTTTTTTCTAGTTTTGGCTAAGAAGCCTAAAAATGAAGTTCATTTAATTCATTACAAAATTACGATGCTAGAATAATTATCCCTACACGAAGAACCTTTTATTCAAATCCTCCCTAAATTAATACTTGATTTTGTTTATTTATTCATCTATTTTGTGTTAAATATAATACAACATGAGGAAACATTATGAAAGTCTCTTTATTTAAGATGGGACTATCAAATAGCACAACAAAGCATTGTATTTCCTTCTTGACCTCTTATTCAAGAGTAAGATTTTATTACAGTATCATTCCTTGTGCATATATATACATATGTGTGTGTATATATATGTCTGTATATATATGTGTCTGTATATATACATATATATGTGTCTGTGTGTATGTGTATATATATATATGTATGTATTTACTTTTGGAAAATAAACAGATGTGACAGCAAGTTCTCTCCTCTGAACTCATCTTGATACCTCTAATTATTACTTGCTTGCCAATCACTGGCTCAAGGGAAACATAATATGCCATTCGATGTTTGATATGCATTCTGTCATACAGTAAGTATACCCCATGTTCAGGAAAAGTCTCCTCTTGACTAAAGTGTTGAAAAAATAAAAATTTGGAAGCTGGTCAGTTTCTGCATTTGGAAAACTACAGGGATTTTGGCAACAATTGATATGAGCTAGTTCCTCTGATATGTTATATTAGACAATCTTTGAGATGTCTTTGTTCTTGCTTTGTGTTCAGCAAATTCTCCAGCCCTACTTATTTTTATTTACATTTGACATGGGATACAGGAAATATTTTATTTATTTTGTTGTACTTGATACGTAATACTTGCAGATATTTATGGGATTCAGTGTAATGTTTTGATACAAATATACATTGTTTAATAATCATATCATTGTATTAAGCATATCCATCACCTCAAAATTTATTTATTCTTTGTGGATAGAACCTTCAAAATCCCCTCTTCTAGTTATTTTGAAATACCCATGATAATATTGTTTACTATAGTCATCTTATTGTGATATAGAACACAGAATTTTTTTCCTCCTATCTAACTATAATTTTCACCAATCTCTTACTATCATTCCTTCTTTACAGCCCACTTCAACTTCAGTTAGCCATTATTCTATTCTATGCTTCTATGAGATCCGGTTGTTTAAATTCCAAAAATGACTGAGATCATGTGGTATTCCTTTTATGTCTAGCTTTTTTCACTGAACATCATGACCTTGTAGTTTATCCATGCAGCAACAAATGACAGGATTTCACTTTTTTATGGCTGGGTAGTATTTTATGGTGTATATATACCACATTTATACTGTGGCTCAAATCACTCCAAATTATGAATATTTAGGGTTTTCTTTGATACGTTTCACTCACTACAAGAATGAGTGGGTCCTTTGTAAGTCTCTTTTCCCCAATGCCAATTTATGTATTTTGAAATATTTCATAGGGAAATACTTGTATTACTTAAGAAATTATGCATACTCAGTGATTAAAATTAGAAATAAAAAGATACAAAAATTTACATTGATGAAAAAAGTTGCTGTTTTCTTATATTCTTTTCTTAAATACTTCATTAACATTGTTCTGCTATATTTATTATATTTTCAATTAGATTTCATATTGGTAAATTATTTTAAATAGCCACTTTATTGTGTTTTTTGATACAAAGCATTCAAGAAGGATATCCACAGATGTTACCACTGTTGTGAGTTCACAGTCTTTGGAATGTTTTTCTGAAATAAGAAAACCAGGGCCTAGGGGAGGAGATTTGCCAATTCTGTGGGCCTTGCCTCAGGACAGTACATCTGCCAGGAAACTGAAAATCTCATATACCCTGTCAGGGAGTGGAACTTTTAGATGCTGTTTCAGAAAAAAAGGAAGAAAAAGTATAGTATAGCTGCATAATTCTTCTATTTTTTTCTTATTATTAACAATTGGGTTTAAAATGTATGTCAGATAAGTAAAATTTATATCTCAGTTTTTAAAAACACATGATAGAAAAGTTTTCTTCATCCATTACAGGTTATTAAATTCAAAAGGCATAGTTTCTATAGTCCTCCTTAAATGTTTCTTTGTTATGCATTGTATTTTACTTTGTAGGTTGCTCTTTTGCTTTTCCAAATTGTCAGTTCCTTTCCATTTCATAGGTCATTGCCATTTCAACCTGTTAATTTGTTACTATTAAAGGTTTTTGGACATAAGATTATATAAGAATAACCAATTTATGGTAAAATTGGAATTTAACATTAAGAAAATAATTTTAAAATATTAAAGAAGTGCTAAAAATACAACTTTGAATAGATCCCACAGGAATCTTTTCAAATATTACCTCATTAATCAGTGACTGGTTGAACAAGTAATATTAAATATAACAGAAATAAACTGATAAATGACACCTTTATTTAGAACTAAATATCATTTATCCTGAACTTTATTATATTATTGTTTATAGTAAGAAAGCTGTTTAGAGATGTTATATTTTTTAATTTAAAAAGAAAACAAAACAAACCAATGCAGTCACCAAAGCTGTCTAGTTTACTCCCATTTAGTTTCTACTTTAGAAAAATGCAGTAAACTATTCAACCAGTCAATTAACAGTTATTGAATTTTTATGCTGCGTAATGAAACCTCTCAGGCATCTTACACTACAGAAGGAGGAATAAGAAATAGATATAATGAGGTGTGAGATAAATTAAGATAGAAAATATTAAAGGTCTTAAACTGATATGATTCTAGCAGAATGCAAAATAGGAAAAAGACTTTTACTATGTAAAACTGTGAGAAAAGATATCATAAGTCAAAATTTATATCATATATTTCTGAAAAAGATAAATAATACATATATGTTGAATTAAAGAAGATACAAATCTGGGCTGAGGAAATAGTACAAAAAATGGTACAGAGACATGAAAGTTTTAGGAAATAATGGTAGGGTATAGATTGAATGATACAGGATTATAAAGATATAATAATTTCATATTTTACAAGCTGAAGGGCTAGGAGGAGGATGTTACAATTAACTAAAATAGGAAACAAAGGAGGAGAACAAGCATCTGAAGGAAATGAATGACTCATACTTTCCATTACACTGAATAAGATAATGATTTTTATTTTCTATTCAGCCCCAGACAATTTATGCACATACACATGACTATATGGCTATGTCTAAAATGTGCATTTATGATGAGTGCCATTTTCTTTCATCTTATAAAACAGCAAGTGCAGTTAACAATTTAGCCAAAATAAACACTGAGAATTTTCTTTGATCTTTCCTTTCTGAGTCTGAATAAAAAATTATAATCTTTTATTGAGAATACTAAATTTTTCAATTTTTTCTCATATTCTACTCATCTTTTCTCATATTCTACTCATCTTTTGTCAACCAGCCTGCACAAACAGACCATGATAGAAAGAGCCAACGTATAATAATCCTTTACACAGTATGTGAAATTCTGCTATTTTGCTATCATTTTATCTGAAAATGCAGATAGAATGCTATGCTATTTACCTGTTTAAACATTTGAATATAAGAATATAACAGATGTAAGAAATAAATTCAAATTAGATAATGTTTTCTCCATAATTGAATTGTTATTTTTTAAAAGTATGCAATAAATAATTAGAACCTAAACATTTTGTGACAGTTGGGCATATGAGTGGGAGATTCTTTTCTTGAATAGCTGTTGTCCTACAGAAGTGAGAATGATCACCTTTCTTTTTATTATTTAACCCTGTGGTGAGTCTAGGGCATTAATCCCTTGAATCGTACTGTTTTTTTTTTTTCATTGATGCATTAAGAATTATTAAGAACAAGGCAGGAATAGATATGTGAGTTTCACAAATGGTAAACATAAATGTGTCCAAGAGATAGAGGAACATCTAATAACATAGGATAGGATAAAGTAGCTCTGCCATCAAATTCACTTAAGTCAGCCTGCTAGCTTCATTATATTATGAAGTGTGAATTTGAGAAAATTTGTAAACCTTCCCATGCCTTGTTTGCCTTACATATTAAGCAGGATAATAATATCTATCACACACTATTATTGGTAGAATTAGAGATATTATGTATAAAATTGTTTTTAGTTAATTCAGAGCAGATTTTCAGAACCTGAACCCATCAAGGATAGAAAACTCAATGTTCTAATCACATAAACCCTCTAAATAGTAACAACATTAAAAATGAAAATGCAAGACAGGAAAAAAATGAGCATATTAGAATTAATGTGGACATTATTTTTAGAATTTCTTTCTTAAAGGCTGCTTTCATTATTGTATCTCCACCAACCTAAAATAGGTAATCTATTATTTATGTCTACAATATGGATTTACTTTATTTCCAGAAGTGCTAAATGTACTTCCCAAAAGTTCAGTCAGGTAGATCTGATTATTTTTTTTCTGAACATACCATGTGATTTCCTGATGAAATGCATTTATTCAAGCTATTTTGCGATTTGGATGGCACACTATCTTCAGTGCAAAATTTTTTTTAAATGACCAAGACAAAAATGTGACCATTATTATGATGTCTTTCTGTGTATTCCTGTTTACACTGTGATCATCCTTCTCTGAACATTTATAGCATTATATATTTTTTTTTTTTGCTACAAAACCACATCTTCACAGGTTATGTCTGTTGAAATGTTTTCTTATGTTACTGAATAACTCATTTTTAAACTCTTTATATGTATGTGTGTTCTCTTTACTGACTCAAAAATGAGTTTAACCAATTACTACCAATAGGTGACTTTGGGCAATTATTTAATATAGCTATCCATCAAATTTTATAAATTAGAAAACTGAGACCAAGCAAAAAACTAGATAACTCACTCAAGTTCATATATCCCAACATACTAGGATTTAGACATGCCTATTTGTCTGAATTGAACCTAAAACTAGTGCATTTTCAATCTATCATTGCCTGTTAGTAAAAGAAGGAATTTAAAAGTGATTATTTCTATATAAATTACTTAATTCTTCAATTTTTCTAAATAAAGCATTTTGATGGATTACCACTCTAAGACAAACTACTCAAAGTGCTTGGTGGCTAATCAGGAATATTTCACAGAAAAGATTGCTTTACAATCTTACAATTCTGGAGAAAATATTTTTTTGTGTGCAGCCCATACTGAAACCAGATGCATAATTAAATGCTGAAGAAAGTATTGTGCATCCTTTTGCCTAGGAACATGTGTAAAGGAATTGGGGAAGTGAGACAATATTACGTCACTTTTTCAATATATACCAAAAAGAAGACTATCTCTAAATATATATTTGTAATGAGAGAAGAATACATTCCTACATCTGTTCAATATGGTTACCACTAGCCACAGTGGCTCTTGAGCACTTGAAATGTAATGTTTCTGAATTGAGACATATTTTATATAATATAATACAAAGACTTAGTTGAATATATATATATATATATATAATGCTTCATTAATTATTTTAAAATTAGGTTACATGTATAAATTATAATAGTTTAGGTATGTTGGACAAATAAATTACATTAGTAAAATTTATATTACATGTTTGTTTTACTTTTTAGGTAATGGTGTTGCCCCACAGACTTTTCCAGATTTCGAGTATTTTCTCCTGTATGCATATTTGTTGGAGGTATTTTTTTCTGTCATGAGTACTGCTATAACTCATAATTTGTAGCAATAGATAAAATATTTTAAAGCACTAGCAAATCCCTTAAAATTCAACAGTTTAGAAGTAATCAAAATAACATTTTTCTCTATTCTGAAACTACTATGTTAGTTCTAAAAGACTTGCCTTTCATTGTTGTAACCTCTTGAATGTTATTTGAATTGTTTTCCAGAGTTCAGAAAGATTGCTCGATAGAGTGTTTATAATATCAGAGTCTCCCAGGCTACATTATAGAGGAACATGTGCCAGTTTCCTTGGCTTTGACTGCTGGAGCTCAAGAGAAGACTTTAACAGCAATATCCAGCAGTCTTAAGTAAGTGTTACAGTAAAATTCCACCTGAAAGTAAGAATTATGTAACATACAGGAGCTTGTAACATAATTATCTGAATGAGTTTTCTACCAACATAATATTATATTCCCACCAATATCCTGGATTTAGAATGAAAATACAAACAAGCTTCAAAGAGACTTATCAAAAACAAAAAACATGCTCCACAATTTGCAACTGAATGTGTTTTAATGCAGCATTGTATGAACAACATATTTAACAATGCTTTAAAACACTACTTCACCCAGTATTTTTATTCAAAAAAGTGAAATAAAATAAAAATAGCAAAATGTTCACAATAATATTAGGCGGTGCAAAAGTAATTGCAGTTTTTTCCGTTAAGAGTAATGGAGTTGCACTTTCATTAAAATGTAATAGATGTACATTTTATTTCAAAACAGAGGTTAAAAACCATTATAGAGCTCTCTCTGAAGATCAGTGTGGCTAACTGCCCCAAATCCTGGGTTCATGGCAGCTTTTTTCCAATAAATCATACAAGCTCTCTCTAGAGAAAATGTATTTAGATTAAGTGTGTTAGAAATGAAAGATAAGAACATAATTATTCCCTAAAAAGTAAAAAGAAGAGTAAGACCTTGAAAGGAAACCCCAAGGAGAAGAGTGGAGCAATCTTTTAATCCCAAGGAGCAAACTGGTGTAGAGAGAGGGGAAGTAGGCAATAAAATATATTTTTCAACATTTTTCAAGCAGGAGTCAAAGGTAGATTAGCTCTACATAGTTCCACGGATGGCTTTTATTTCTTTAACAGATTATTTTAAGAAATGTTGCACCACCAATGCTTTCGTAAAACAAAAAATTATATTTTGTAATGATATAAACATCAACTAGTTTAAGCCAAAAATACAATAAAGAATTAAACTCTAAAAGTGAAGAAATCTTAGGAATATTTTAACCAGATTATTTAATTTATATTTTGTGTATGTTTATTCTTAAATTTTGTCTATTCTCTCTTTCTTTTTTTATAAATATCAGATAGCAAAAATAATTTCTGTCTTATTAAATCTAAACACCAGCCAATAATTACCAAATATAAAGCTATTATAAAAAAGCACTATGTCAACATATATTTTTCTTTTTGAAAGTACATAACACTAGAGGGTATATTACAATCACTGAAAAATTTAATCTAATTAAATGTAAGCACATACATTGTTTTTTATGCCAAAATTACTTATCTATTGTATGAATTATTTCATATGCATTTGATAAAGACAGACTATTTTATTAAGTGGTAATTGCCTTATTTTATAAACCACATTTATCAGACAATATTTGAGGTTACCAAGAAACAACAGTTGAAAGTAAACAACCCTAGGTCAACTGAAGTAGAAAACAGTGGCCTTCATCCCACCGTCTTCCTTTTGACATAGTTAGACCTTAGGCTCTGACTTTGATGGATTATTATTCAGCTTTCCCAACCATTTACTATAATATTTCTTATCACTGTTTTGCTGAAACCTTGCAAAACAATCCTAATAACCAATGGGAAACTTTACAATTCACCTGTGTCCTTGTAAAATCATATCAAAATATTTATCAAGATAAAATTTAAAACTTTTGTCGTACTGTTAATTACAAGATTATACACGAATAAAAATAGTAAAACATTTTTACTTAGTACTGAAATTTAATGAAGATGGGATAAATGTCATTATACTCTGACTTATTGAAAATTAAAGGGCTCTATTTCTGGGTTTACAGTAGCTTGGATAGTGCTTACCTTCTTGTTGGTCATATAACTTACATGGTGTGTCATTTCCATGGCTAGGCCAATAGTCATACTCCTTTTGAAGTTCTTATTATCTTCCAACATTTTGTCCTTTCAGCTTTCAATGTCATAAAAATCTCCTAGTGTTTCTTTAATGTGAACTTTGTTGCAGCTACCAGTCCTCTGAGACATTTTTATTATTTTCATTATAACCACTTTATTTATGCATGTGGGTAAATTTACCTTTACTAAGTTTCTCCAGCTGCATATCTAGTTTCTCCAAATGGAGACAATATCAACATTTTTGCAATTAGCTATTTCTTTTGTAACTTCATTCTATTCGAATTTCATTTCTAGACATCAAGTTTCTTTGCTGCACTTTCATCTTGGATGATTAATGTTGTCTTTTGATTATCTGTTTTTGTAAAATTGTATGACGGTTTTTCACTGAGAGACAAAAGTGCAACATAATACAACTACAGCTTTGTGTCTAGATGTGAAATGAATAACGGATGAGCAGTGGCCAATCACTGACATATTCAAAAAGAATTGACTCAGTAGTCATTGATAATGAAGTAAATGCATCAGTTATTTACATAGTGATTAGTAGAATAACAAGCTAACAGCCAAATTTGTACCTTCTGCAGTTCTTCACAGAAAATACAGTGGGACTTCCAAAATTGAAACCAAGTTGTTGGAGGGTTGATGTTATTTAACTAAATCATGAAAACTAAAACTCATTAATATCAAAACTATGCAAACCAAGGATAATCTATGTTACATCACAGTAGGAATACTTATATCAGCTGACTAATACAGGCATGCCTCATTTTATTACACTTCCCTTTATTGTGCTCAGTAGATTTTATGCTTTTTACAAATTGAAGATTTGTGGCTACCTTGAATCAAGCAAGTCTATTGGTACAATTTTTCCAACAATGTGCTCATTTTGTATCTTGTGTCGCATTTTGGGTATTCTTACAATATTTTAAACTTTTAAATTATTATTTTATATGTTATAATGGTCTGTAATCAGTAATCTTTATGTTACTATTGTAATTCGGGGGAGAGGGGCACTGCAAACTGTGTCCATAAAAGCAAACATAATTAAATGTTTGACTGCTCCATTGAATGGTCCTTTCTCTTTCCCTCTCTCTCTCTCCTCAGGCCTGCCTTTTCTCTGAGACAAAATAATACTGAAATTAGGCCAATTAATAACCCCATAATATCCTCCAAGTTTTCAAGGGAAGAGTCACATCTCTCACTTTAAATCAAAAGCTAGAAATGATTAAGCTTAAGTGAAGAAGGCATGGAGAAAGCCAAGAATGGCCAAAAGCTATGCCTTTTGTATAAAGCAGTTAGCCAGGTTGTGAATGCAAAGGAAAATTTCTTGAAGGGAATTAAAAGTACTACTCCAGTGAATGAATGAATTATAAGAAAGCAAAACAGCTTTATTGCTGATGTAGAGAAATTTAAGTGGTCTGGATAGAAGATCAAACCAACCACGATATTCCATTAAGCTAATACTTAGTTAGAGCAAGGCCCTAACTCTCATCAATTCAAGAAAGCTGATATAGGTGAGGATGCTACAGAAGAAAAGTTGGGAGCTAGCAAAATTTAGTTCATGAGGTTAAAGGAGAAAAAGTTATTTCCATAATATACAAAGTACAAGATGAAGCTGAAAGTGCTAATGTAGAAAATGCAGCAAGTTATCCAGAAGTACCTAAGATTATTGATGAAGGTGGTTAGACTAAACAACAGATTTTCAATGTAGACAAAACTGCCTTCTATTGGTAGAAGAAAGCTTCAAATGACAGGCCAACTCTCTCATTAGGGGCTTAATGCAGCTGCTAACATTGACTTGAAGCCAATGCTCATTTACCATTTCAAAAATTCTAGAACCCTTCAGAATTATGCTAAGTCTACTTTGCCTTTTCACTATCAAAGAAACAATAAAGCCTGGATGACAGCGCATCTGTTTACAGCATGCTTCACTTAATATTTTAAGAGTAAAGTTAAGATATACTCCTCAGAAAAAAAATATATTTCTTTCAAAATATTACTGCTCATTGACAATGCACCTAGTCACCCAAGGGCTCTGATACAGATGCACAAAGAGATTCATGTTGTTTTCATGCCTCATAGCACAACATCCATTCTGGAGCCTATGGATCAAGGATTAATTTCAAATTTTGATTCTTATTATTTAAGAAATACATGTCATAAGGCTATAGCTGTCACAGATAGGGATTACTCTGATGCATCTGGGCAAGGTAAATTGAAAAACTTCTAGAAAGGATTCACCAATCTAGGTTTCATTAACTACGTGTGTGATTGATATGAGTAGGTCAAAATATCTACATTAATAGGAGTTTGGAAAAATTTGAGACCAAATCTCATGAATGACTTTAAAGGGTCCATAATTTAAGAGAAGTGGGTAGCTGCAGATGTGGTCTAAATAGCAGGAGAAATAGAATTAGAAATGAATCCTTGAGATGTGATGGAATTACTGTCGTCTCATGAAAAAACTGGAACAAATGAGGAGTTGCTTCTTATGAATGAGCAAAAAAAAATGTTTCTTGAGATAAAGTCTACTCCTGGTGAAGATGTTGTGATCATTGTTGAAATAAGAACAAGGGATTTAGAATATTTTATAAACGTGGTTGATAAAGCAGCAAGAAGGTTTGAGAGGATTGACTCCACTTTTGAAAGAACTTATACTGTGGCTAAAATGCTTTTACACAGTATTGCATGCTACAGAGAAATGACTTGCCAATTTATGTGACAAACTTAATTATTGTGTTATTTAAGAAGTTACCACAGCCACCCCAACCTTCAGCCACCATCTCTCTGATCAGTCAGGGGCAATCAACAAAAAAACAAGACCCTCCACAGCAAAATGATTATGACTTACTGAAGGCTCAGATGATCATTAGCATTTTTTAGCGATAAAGTGTATATATATATATATATATACATATATGTATGTGTATATATATATATATACATATATGTGTGTATATATATATATACATACATATATGTGTGTGTATATATATATACATACATATATGTGTGTGTATATATATATATACACATATATGTGTGTGTGTATATATATATATACACATATATGTGTGTGTGTATATATATATATATATATATATTTTTTTTTTTTTGAGACAGAGCTTCGCTTTTGTTGCCCAGGCTGGAGTGTAATGGCACGATCTCGGCTCACCGCAACCTCTGCCTCCCGGATTCAAGTGATTCTCCTGCCTCAGCCTCCTGAGTAGCTGGGATTACAAGTGCCCACCACCATGCCCGGCTATTTTTTTTTGTCTTTTTAGTAGATACAGGGTTTCACTATGCTGACCAGGCTGGTCTCGAATGCCTGACCTTCTGATCAACCCGTCTTGGCCTCCCAAATTGCTTTAACATAATTACACTGTTTTTTAGACATAATGTCATTGCGTACTTAATAGACTACAGAATAATGTAAACATAACTTGTATATGCATTGGAAAAATATTTTGTGTGACTCACATTTTTGTGATATCCATATTATTGCAGTGGTCTGGAACCAAATACTCAAAATCTCTAAAGTATGCCTATATACAATTGTTTATCATTTTAAAATAATATTATTTTTAAAATAAGTCTTTGCAGAAGTAACTGTGTTAAGGATATTGAGATTCAATCATCCTTTTTAGGATGGGTTACATAAATCCAATGGCAGGTGTCCTTATGAAAGAAAAGTAGAGAGATGTGAGACACAGAGACACAGAAGAGAAGACAATGTAAAAAGCACGGCAGAAATCTTATGCTTGTATATTACTTCTCTTACTTCTGCTTGATGAAAATACTCATTAAGAAGAAATAGATTGAAGTGGAGAGAAACTATCAGAAAAAAGCTAATGCCCCTCATGTGGAAATCGTTATGTGAAGTGCTAAGAATTCAGAATACACATCCAATGATACTCTAGTGTAGAGCTATTTGGTTCAACTCCTGTACTACTTACACAATTCTCCTTCTTCTCTTTGTATTTTGAGGCAGTAGCAGTAATTTGGAAACTACTTTTTAGAAATTAAAACCATGTTGAATTGCCAGAATCTAATTCAAATATTTTACTACCTATTACTATTGATTAATTAAGGCTGCATATATCTTCAGAAATATAGATTATTTTTAGTTCTGTATTTATATTAGCTATATTGAAATATTAATTTTATTATTTGCCAGTTTGGTTCCTATAAAGAATATAACTTAAAATACTCATAGATATGAATTTGAAGATTATTTTGAGATTACAAAAACAATCCATAGGTCTCAAGACAAATGGTGCAAGTAATGAACAGAGCTGCACAGAGCATGCATGGATAAGCATTTCTAAGCATGTAAAGCTAATTATATATGTAAATGTATACATATGAGTGGTACACTCTTATAAACACAAAAGACAGTGGACTTGGTGCAGGTACAAAAGGGAAACAGGTGCCTAATTTTTAATTCCATTTATTGTATCACATCTGCTGTTAATTATTTTACTTTCAGTAAATTACAAATGTCTAATGTTGGTAGTAAAAAAAGTATATTTTATTATTCTTACTGCTATATGTTTTAAATCTTATCTCTTAGATAAAACTAAAATTTTTCTAGAAATGGTAGATTAAATGTCTAATAATATCAATAGTAATAAAAGGACCATATTCCCTGAATCATTATAAGAGCATTATGTACAATTAGTCATTGCTCTTTATGAAAACTCTATAAGCCTAGTATAATATCAAGCACAGTTGACAGATTAAGAATCATAAAGAGGAAGCTATGTAACTGATTTAATTAATGCAGTTAGTAAGTGGCAGTCAGTATTTGAACCCATGACTTCTGGTTTCAAGGTCTGGGCTCTTGAACTTGCATCCATAAAGATTTAGTCTAAAGATCCACCTTTCCCTCCACTGCTAGAATTGAAACCAGATCAATAATGAGATTATATTTCCAGCTCTAAGTCTTCCATGTCCAGAGCACCACAGAGCCACAATATCGCAAGCTGAGTGTAATATGTCTTCTGCTGAGCAGATGACTATGTTACTGCTGAGCAAAAGAAACAAAAACACAAATGAACAGGCTGATATTACTTGTAGAAAAGTGGAAATCCATAAAGTTAAAATGGACCATTGATTTTGTGGACTATTGTTTGCTGGAGGTATCTTCATTTGCTTTATTTATTTAGTTTATCGTTTCTTAATCAGGTCTAAAGTGTTTTGGATATATCAGAGATCTATAGCAGATTACTAACAATCTTAAAATGTTTTTACTTTCTATCAGATGCTCCTTGTTCATTTGCTAAACGTGAGTCTTTCATATATCCCTACCCAACTAGAGTTGCGAGTTTTAGCCAAACCCAACGAAACAAAGAAAAATCATTCTGTTTTTTATATAAACACATGAATATTTATAGTCTAAAAATTGAAGTAATGGGCCTTGAGTTATTGTTTATTAAAATTTTATTACTAAGAATCTGAAACTTTATATTAACATTTTAAGCATTGCTTATTAAGTTCATTAACGTCGCATAGAATATGTATTTCTAAGTTCAATTAAATTCTCATTTTAAGTAAGCAAACTTTTTTTTAGTTTATGTGTGTTACATGCGATATTTAGAACACATGTATACTAAAACATTGATGAGTTAATCTAAAATTTAACTTTAACTGATCATTCTATATGTTACCTGGCAACTGTACTACTCAGTCCAACATAAATTTGTGGGGCTATCAAGAAAGTCACCCTGAATCTAAATGTAAAGAATAATGCTTTTGGTTCATTTCAAAATTTGTAATTTACTAGTCATGTGTGCCCTTGCATCATTTTACCCATTTGAGACTTTGTCCCATTGGTAAAAAATGGAATCATGAGATGCCCCTCTCCCCAACCTGGCAATTGAAGAAAATATGCTAAAGAAATAGTTTAAAGAAAATGTAAAATTTTATAGGTAGGAACACAAGAGTACTTATGTTTTCAATTTACTTTATACAAAATAACATTTACAGAAAGGGATACAATTTTCCATCACACATCTCATATTATTGTTGACAGTGGTCTTTAACCACATGGTACTTAATTTGCCCATGAATCAACAGTGGCTAATAAGTTTTGAATAATGAGAGTTAAAGCACTGACTCCTCTCACACAGTTGGGGTGACCATTAGTAAATGCCCTCTAAATAATTGTCATTATTATATTTTTAAAAGAAGCTTGATATTCTTTTTCCCTCAAAATGCAGTTATGGCACAGAAGATGATATCTTAATATTTGCCTGAGAAAAGGTTTTTTTCTGAAACTTAGAAAAAAACCCTACATAATTACTGAAGAAATCTATACCAGCAAAGATATGCTAATTGTCATACTACTGTAAATTATAGTATGCTTTATAAAAGATAATTTTCCTGACTATGAAACACATTTTTACCATTAAAATGATTTCTGACTTTTACCCTGCTATTATAAATTTGTGAAAATGGTTCTGCCAGACGTCCACACAGTGGCAAATTGGAATCCCACGGGAAATGATCTTTAAATTAAGAAACTCTCAGTATGTTCCAAGTTTCATTTAAAGGCCTGGGAATTTCTTTGTAGTGTGTGATAAAGGAAATCACAAATCTTTTAAAACATCTGGATTGAATTAAAACTATTAATGAGAGAAATGTATAATAAGTACATTCTATGATGTTTAATTACATCCACCATGTTTTTATTAATTCTTTCAAAAACTATCTGTGGAGACATTCCTATGTGACAAGCATCATGCTAAATGCTGTAGGAAACAAAAAGAAAATTAGTCTCAAAATTTAAGGGCATTATAATCCAGTGGGAGATTTACTCCATGAATGTCTACAAACGTTAGATAGCTAATGTTGACTATTTTTCCATGGGAATGGCATTTAAAATTATGAAAACTGGGTTTTTAGCCAAGCAAAATTTTAATCAATCCTTGTAAAACCATTAAACCAATTTTGTCTGTTTCTCCTCTCATCAAAAATGATTAGTAACAAGTTTAAGAATAAATGAAATTATATATAATATTAAGAAAAAAATTTCAAATAATTTTCATCCACTGCCTTCCTAAGAAGATATGTTTATATACACTTATTCATAATATTCTGAGCCTATCTTTTATGTTTTTTGTTCTTAAAACAAATTTCTAATTCACTTCTTTTCTATTCTAGACATCATGTATAACTGTGCTTGTGTTTGTGAATCTGTATTTGTAGCATATGAATGTCTAAGTCCATGCCAATGAAAAACATAGATCATCAACTTTTACTACCCATATCTCCCATTTAATTAGTATTAAGCAAAAGCTGAACAGGCTGTAAAGATGTACACATAATGGAGTGACATTACAATTTCTTAAGAAATTAATACTGCAGGTTCACTATATTGGAAACTGTTTAGCATGTTTTAACCAATAAATTCATGTGAAGGTCTGTTAATTTCTAAGCTTAGCAGGAACAGTTGGAGAAATGTGCTATACTTCAACTTTTACAAAAATAAAAGAATTTTCTTTGGTCATATTGTAATTAGAAAAAAAAAAGATGGAAAAATAGAAGTACTTTTATTGTCAAAATTGGATAAGTAAGAGGATTTGTTTCTGGTTTTCTTGACTTATATTCTAAAAACAAAACAAAATCAATCATGATTATTCCAAATCAGTGACTATAATTTTAGAGAGTAGGGTAATTGGATGACAGATAAAAATATATTTTTATATAAAGATAATTCCTAATAAACTATATAAGACTTGATATAACTACAGGAGTATTTACAGTCTAAAAATTAAATGGACTTTGAGTTACAGTTTCTTAAAATGTTATTACTAACAATCTGAAACTTTATATTAACATCTTAAGCACTGATTACTAAAGTTCATCATGTGGCAATTATCATGCAGCATTAGGATATGTAATGTCATATATATTCCAAATATTATATAAATTTCTACTGTCATTAAATGAAATGTGAGGGGACTAAATTGGCTTTAAAAAGGAATAAAAACAACTAAATTAGAACATGTATTCTGCTATTTAATCTTTGTTAAGGCTGTAATTTTTTTGTTAGCCACACTCATTTTATCAGGCTTTTTTATATAATTGAAGCCATAATATATAGAGATGGTATAGTTAGATTATTTCTTCTCTGAAATATTTGAAACCAGAGGTGTTTTAAATTTCAAGTTTTGGAATATTTGCATATACCATAATGCGATATTTTGAGAAAAAGACCCAAATCTACACACAAAATTTATTTATGTTTTATATAAATATGTACCTTATACACATAGCCTGAAGAAAATTTTGTATGTTTTTTAAACATTTTGTTCATGAAACAAAGTTTTCTTTGCATTTTGACTACTTCTTCTCTCAGCAGGACAGACGTGAAATTTTTTACTTGTGGCATCATGTTGGTGCTCATAAAGTTTCAGATTTTGGAACAGTTTGGATTTTGGATTGTCAGATTAGAGATGCTTAACCCAGAGATAGATGAGATAGATCAATGGATAGATAGGTAGATAGATGATAGGTAGATAGATAGATAGATAGATAGATAGATAGATAAATAGATAGATCGATAGATACACAGACAGATAGGTAGACAAATATAGAAATGTTTCCATGCTTTTAGGGAACTGCAAATGCATCAATTTCATATTTCATGGGCCAAGAGGCTGAGTATAATTTAATCGCTAGTTCACTAGTGAAGCTATATGGCAAAAATTACCAATGTTCATGCATGTCTAGTTTTTTTCCCCTTCCCAGGAAAATAAATTATCACTTTTTTTTTAATAGAGATCAGGTTTTGCAATGTTGGCTGAGCTGGTTCAAACTCCCGAGCTCCAGTGATCCTGCCTCAGCCTCCCAAAGTGCTAGAATTACAGATGTAAACCACCATACCTGGTTTACAAATTTTTATACTTACCAGTCAACATATATTTAAGGAATGGCAGCAGAGACATGTGACTTGTTCTGACCAATGAATATGATACGTTTCAATGACTGGCAAAGGGAATCAAAATCCTGTGCATGACAGCGCATCCTTTCTCTTCATCTACTGTGATAAGATAAGGGCCATTGAGTCATGAAAAACAAGCAGCCCTGAAGAGCTACCCAATACATATCTGAAAATATAAAATTGTGTGGTACAAAGCAACTAATGTTTATAAGTTGGGCAATTCCTTCAACATAACCTATTATTTTAACTAATGCAAACACTTTTTTCCTTAAAATTCAATACATTTTAAAGGCAGCAGAGACTACATAGTGAAATAAAACCTCTCCTCCCAGAATCATATTTTTTCTAATCCCTCTCTCCAAATATTTATGCTATTGTTGTCATATGTTTTATTTTAGAAGTGTTATAAGCATGTGATATTTCTACTAATTTTACTTCAGATGGCCAAATATCATTAAAAGTGATTAAAAATAAGAAAATAATGTTTATTTATTTTACAATTTCTAGAGCCTCCATTTCTTTGTGTAGATTCATATCTAGAACCAAAGTCCTCTCAGAAGAACTTTGTTTAACAGTTCCTATGGGGCAAGAATGCTGGTTATTAATTCTTTCAGATTATGACCATCTGAAACTGTTGTTACTAGGCTTTGATTTAAAAAATATACCTTTTTTTCTGAGTCCAGAATTCTGTGTTGACAAAGATTTTTGTTTTTTCCTCTGCTTTCCGCACTTCAAAGATCTCACACATCTTTTGGCTTGTGTGGTGTCTAAACAGAGTCTGGTATAATTCTTATCTTTGCTACTTTGTGTGTAAACTGTCTTTTCTTTTTACCTTTCTCTTGACTTTAAAGACATGTTTCTTTATTTTTGATTTTTAGCAGTTTGGCTATAATATGCCTAGGTATGGTTTTCTGGAGGTATTCATTCTGCTTGTGTTATTCTTAGCTTCTTGAATCTGGGTTTAGATGTCTTTTATTATTTTTTTAAAAATTCAAACATTCTCTGTTCCAATATCACTTTTGCTATTTTATCATTTTTCCCCTTCTTCTAATCCAATGACACATCTTTTAGAGTGTTTGAATTTTTTTTCCGGTTTTGGATGCTCTTATCTGTTTTTGCAGTGGCAGTGTTTGCTTGCTTTTTGTCAATCATTTTTCTTTGTGCATTTTAGTTTTTAGCAATTTCTATTGGCCTATAATCTACCAATTCTTCCCTCAGCTGTGTTAAATTCACCGGTGAGCCTATTGAAAGAATTTTATCTCTCGCATTTTTTTAATTATGGAATTTTTATTTAGCTGTCTTATAGGTTTATTCTTTCTAAAAACATTATCTAAATGTTCATGCCTATTGCCTACCTTTTCCATTAAATTGTGAAACATATAGTCATAGTTATTTTAAATTTTCTGTTCAATGGTTTCAACATCTAGATATCTCTCTGAGACTAGTACAATTGACTTTTTGTGTTCTGTTTGCTTGTTTGTTTGCTTGCTTGCATTTGTATGAGCTTATGTTTTTTAATTGATGTCAACATTGTAGGAGAAACATGAGACACTGAAGTCAAGATCACTTATTTCTGAAATAAGTGGACTTCTTCTTCAATGTTTCTATCACTGTGCCAAACCAATAAGTAGTTGAGCTGAGTTTGAGATTTTTTTCCTGATATTGTGACCTTCAGGACGTCATAGTCTTCAAATTCTTCTAGCAGTTGGATGTGATTGCCTTGTGTTGAGGATGGCATTTTGGATGTCTAAGGACTTTTTTTTTTTTTGAGTCTTTGTATTTTACCCTGAGTTTTTAGTCATTCTTGTTTGCCTGAATCGTGGTGGGGAGTTTCTCTCCTCAAACTTCTCCTCCTCTCAGAAGTAGATTTCTGTTGCTTTTTATTCAGTGTGAGGCCTACGGTGGAAATAGGAAAATTTTCTCTTGTTTTCATCCTGCACATGCTAAAGCTTTTCCTTACCTTCCTATTTAAAATACTATACCTCCTCTAATTTCAGCCATTTCAATGTCCCTTTAAGCTTTATTTTCTTCTTTTGTATTTATTAGTATGGAACATAATATATAGTATGTTATTTAGGTTTTTGTCTCCCTTTAACACATTTTTGGTTATTTATGTTGTTGTTGCCAGATATATAGAACTTAAAATAGTCCCTGATGCATCATCAGTACTCTGAAACCCTTGCTGAATGAATTAATGGAGGCTGAAGTCATTCAAAAACACCATGAGATTTTATCAATAAAAATTTTATTTTTTTAACTTTTATTTTATGTTCAGGGGTACATGTGCAGGTTTGCTACATAGGTAAACTTGTGTCATGAAGCCTTGTTGTACAGATTATTTTATCACCCAAGTATTAAGCCTAGTACCCTTTAGTTATTTTTTCTAATCTCTCTCTTCCAATCCTTCACCCTCCAAAAGACCCCACTGAGTGTTGTTTCCCTCAATGTGTCCATGTTTTTGCATAACTTACCTCCCACTTATAAATGAGAACATGTGAAATTTGGTTGCAATTCATGATAATAAAAATAGAGACTTAAAAGAATGTAGGCAATTAAAACTTAGCTACCCTAACTTAGCTTTCCTTGATTTTTGTGAGCTCTGCATGCTTACTTTGATAGAAGAAAGTCTATTAATTGTGATTTAACTTGCAAACAGTTGCAACAAAATGCTATTTCCTTAAAACCTACCACATAAGCTCCTTGGGAAGACTATATTTTGTGGAATATTATTTTGATAATTAATTGTTTTACAAGGTGAATTTCACTATCCCCTTTTTCCTTTTCAGGATGGAGTAACATGATGTACCAAATCTACAGAAGAATATCAAAGACATTAAGGAAGTAATTATATTAGGAAGAAGAGAAAGAGAGCCAACAAAGGGTAGAAGTTGAAGTGCATTACATGTGACCAGTTATTAGGGTCTCAAACCATCTCGGAACATGCTGTTGGATGCACGTATACTCTGAGTGAAATGCTTAATTGTTGTAGTGATGTGAAGAAGAAAGGTGGTGGAATGACATGGAAGATGAGGAAGAGTTGCTATTTGAAAAGAGAGGGACAACCATCATTGAGAAACACTAGAATTAGGGTAAATAAAAGGCTCAGAGACTGTAGACCCCTGAGAATTGGACAACATCTTTGAAGGTTGACAAAATTCTATTGAATGTGGGTTTATATGCAATTTCACCAAAAACTCAGGTGGCAGAGAGCTCTTCAATTGATATTTAGCTTATGGTCTTGTAGTATGTGGAGGCCAAAAGAGCTGAGAAGTTACAACTAAACCTCATCTGAAGTCTCATTAGCAATTCTAGAAAATATAATATGATATATAGAGGGCAACCTAATCTTTCACAGTTTGATAGGGCTTTGAAAGATATAAATCTTTAGAACCTACTTTTTTATTCCTTAATAAAATTAAGTCTAGAGTCAGCCTTGCAGTTGTTGTTGAGAAAAACATTATGTAATATGTGATATAGAAATTAACCATGACCTTGCCTAGACTATAATGATGTAGCATTAATTTTTTATTCTATTTTAGAGATAAAAATTAAGCAATGGTCAGTATATTCTTGTGAATTCCTTCCTAAAGGTATGATGGTTTTAATTATGATGGTCTTCTGACAGAATGCTCTAAACTCAAGTCAATTATTAAAATGCTGCTTCTGGTAAAACATATATACATTCGTGTACCTTAGTGATAATCACACTGGGACAATTCAGATTGAAAATGTGTACCACCTGCTTCTATTTGAGTTATAAATTAAGGTTCAAATACCATAAATAAGAATGCTGAATCACATTGGCAGGTGATATTGTCAAATGGATACACTCCCTTTTTTCTTATATTTCCATTATGTTGCATATAGACACAGCTTCATAGTCAGAGACTTATCCTTTTCTACTATTTTTATACTAACTTTATAGCTATAATTACTCTTGGCCATGGGTTTCAGAATGGCATTAACTTCTTGCAAGCTGTTATTAAGTAATATCAGGAAGCCAAATCATTCTCAGTTCAATTTCCAGTAGAGGTAATCCTCTCTCATTTAACTGACTAGTAAATTGGAAAGAAAAAAAAAGCCTACAACCTAACAGCATGAGATTAAGTGTAATGAAAATATGCCAGATATTTGTATAAAATGACAAATGTTGGTTTTTGGATATTTGGTTCCCATTAAATTTAACATATATTACTTGAGACAAATGTCAATATTTGGCATATTTATCAACGTAAATTGAGGAGTTTGGTCTGTCTTTACTCAAAATATTTTACATGCTTTGGGCAGGACAAGGAGAGTCTCTGTTTACTCAATAAATTTTCCATTTCTAAAAGCTGAATTTCATTTTTTAAATAACTGACTGTATAGGCTATTTATAAAACATTTTTTTCTTAAGTCTGAGGTTTAGGAGAAAATATTAGTCTTATTATTTAATGCCCAACATTTAATTTTCACTAAGCAAGAAGAGTAAATAAAATTTTTAAATAAGTTAATAACTAACTATGTTCTGTCATGCAAAGTTTGAAATGTATTATTTCACCATGTACCCAATAACAATTACACCTAAAAATAAAACAAACTCATGTCATGGGGGTTTGTTGTACAGATTATTCTGTCACTCAGGTATTAAGTCTAAAATCCAATAATTACTTTTTTGTTCCTCTCCCACCTCCCACCCTCAGATAGGCCCTAGTGTCTGTTTCTTCCATCTTGTTGTCCATGTGTTCTCATCATTTAGCACCCGCTTCTAAGTAAGAACATGTGGTATTTGGTTTTCTGTTCCTATATTAGTTTGATAAGGATAATGGCCTCCAACTCCATCAAATTTTCTGCAAAACATATGATCTCATTCTTTGTTATTGGTGCATAGTGTTCCATGGTATATATGTGACACATTTTCTTTTTTTTTAACTTTTATTTTAAGTTCAGGGATACCAGTGTGGGTTTATTACATAGGTAAACTTGTGTCATGGAGGTTTGTTATACAGATTATTTCATTGCCCAGATATTAAGCCTAGTGCCCATTAGTTATTTTTTCTAATTCTTTCCCTCCTCTCACCCTCTACCCTCCGTAGACCCCAGTGTGTTTTCCCCTCTATGTGTCTTTATCCAGTCTACTAGTGATAGGCATTTAGCTTGATTCCATGTCTTGGCTATTGTGAATAGTTCAATGAATGCATGCATGCATGTGTCTTTATGATAGAACAATTTATATTTCTTTGGGTATACACTTAGTAATGATATTGCTGTTTCAAGTGGTAGTTCTGTTTTCAGCTCTTTGAGGAATTTTCATACTACTTTCCACATTGTTTGAACTAATTTACACTCCCAACAGTGCATAAACATTCCTTTTTCCTCTGAAACCTTGACAACATCTGGTTTTTTTTAATATATTTTCTTTTTTCATTATTATTATTATGCGTTAAGTTTTAGGGTACATGTGCACAATGTGCAGGTTAGTTACATATGTATACATGTGCTATGTTGGTGTGCTGCACCCATTAACTCGTCATTTAACATTAGGTATATCTCCTAATGCTATCCCTCCCCGCTCCCCCCACCCCACGACAGGCACCGGTGTGTGATGTTCCCCTTCCTGTGTCCATGTGTTCTCATTGTTCAATTCCCACCTATGAGTGAGAACATGTGGTGTTTGGTTTTTTGTCCTTTTTTGACTGTTTAATAATAGCCATTCTGACTGGCATGAGACAATATCTCATTGTAGTTCTGATAGTCACTTCTTTAATAGTCAGTGATGTTGAGCTTTTTTACCTATGCCTGTTGGTACATGTATGTCTTATTTTGGAAAGTGTCTGCTTATTTCCTTTGCTTACTTCTTAATGGGATTTGCTTTTTATTTCTTGTAAATTTGCTTGTTTCTTAAAGATGCTGGATATTAGACCTTTGTAAGATGCATAGTTTGCAAATATGTTCTATTCTGTAGGTTGTCTGTTTACTCTTTTAGTAGTTGTGGTTTTTGTGCAAAAGCTCTTTAGTTTAATTGGACCCCATTTATCAATGTTCGTTTTTATTACAATTGCTTTTGGCATCTTTGTCATGAAATATTTGCCAGTTCCTATGTCAAGAATGATATTGCAGAAGTTGTCTTCCAGAGTTTTATTGCTTTGGATTCTACATTCACATCCTTAATTTATTTTGAGTTGATTTTTTTTTATATGGTGTAAGGAAGGGGTCCAGCGTCAACCTTCTGCATATGGCTAACCAGTTGTCCCAGCATCATTTATTGAATAGAGAGTCCTTTCTACATTGGTTTGTCACCGTTTTTGAAGATCAGTTAGTTGTAGGTGTGTGGCCTTATTTCTCGGCTCTCTATTCTTTTCATTGGTTTCTGTGTCAGATTTTGTACCAGTACCATGCTGTTTTAGTTACTCTACCTCTGTAGTATAGTTTGAAATCAGGTAGTGTGATGTCTCCAGCTTTGTTCTTTTTGCTTAGGATTACCTTCGTTATATGGGCTCATTTTTAGGTTGTATATGATTTTAAAATAGTTTTAATTATTTTCTTTAAGAATGTTGAATGCAGGTTCTCAATCTCTTCTGGTTTGTAAGGTTTCAGCTGAGAGGTCTACTGTTGGTCTGCTGGGCTTCTTTTTGTAGGTGACCTGTCCTTTCTCTCTAGATGCCTTTAACATTGTTTTTTGTTTTTTTTTAAATAAAAGAAGAAAGAGAAAGAAGAAAGACAGAAAGAAAGAGGGAGAGGGGAGAGAGAGAGAAAGAAAAGAAAAAGAAAGAAAGAGAGAGAGAGAAAGGAAGGAAGGAAGAAAGAAAGAGAGAGAGAAAGAAAGAAAGAAAGAAAGAAAGAAAGAAAGAAAGAAAGAAAGAAAGAAAGAAAGAAAGAAAGAAAAGAAAGACTTCAGCCGAATTAAATTTAAGTAATTTAAGTGTTTAATTGAACAATGAATTGGTTGCAAATCGGGCAGCCCCCAGTGTCACAGCAGACTCAGGGAGACTAGTGCAGCCACATGCTGGAAGAATATTTATAGACAAAACAAAAAAAGGGAAGTTACATACAGAAATGGAAAGTGAGGCACAGAATGGGGGGATTGGTTACAGCTCGGTGTTTGCCTTATTTGAGCACAGTTTGAACACTTGACAGTGTATGAGTTGTTGACGTATGGCTACTGGGATTGGCCAAGACCCAGCCACTGTTACAGGTGCACACTCCCAAGTTAGTTTCTCAATTTTGTCTACCTATTAAATTAGGTTGTAGTTTGTCCACAGAGACTCAAATATAGAGGTGCAGAGTCCTTCTCAGGCCATATTGAGTTCATTTTAACAACATTTTTCTTTCATTTTGACCTTGGAGAATCTGATGATAGTGTGTGTTGGGAATGACCTTCTTATAAAGTATTTTGCAGGAGTTCTTTGCGTTTTCTGAATTTGGATGCAGATCTCTCTAACTAATTTGGGAAAGTTCTCATGGATGATATCCTAAAATACGTTTTCCAAGCTGCTTCCATTCTCCCCATCTCTTTCAGGAAAGTCAATGACTCATAGACTCGGTGTCTTTACAGAATCCCGTATTTCACAGAAGTTTTGTCTGTTCCTTTTAATTCTTTTCTCTTCATTCTTGTCTGACTATCACATTTCAGAAAGCTAGTCTTCAAGCTCTGAGATTCTTTCCTCAGCTTAGGCAATTCTGCTGTTAATACTTGGATTGCATTGTGACATGTTTGTAGTGGTTCTGAGCTCTGTCAAGTTGGTTACATTCTTTTCTATACTGACTATATTGTCTGTCAGCTCCTTTATCTTTTTATTGTGACTCTTAGCTTCCTTAGATTGCGTTTGAACATTCTCCTGGAACTCAGTGATCTTCATTTCTATCCATATTGTAAATTCTATCTCTGTCATTTCAGTCATCTTAGCACAGTTTAGAACCTTTGCTGGAGGACTATTGTTGTTTGTAGGAAAGAAGACACTGGCTTTTTTGTTGTCAGAGTTTTTGGGCTGGTTCTTTCTCATCTTTGTGGGCTAATGTTTCTCAATCTTCAAAGTTGGAATTCTTTGAGTATTTTTTGTTTGTTTGTTTTTTAACCTATTTGATGACTTTGGGGGTTTGACTGTGGCATAAGGTGAGTTCAGATGACTGGCTTTATTTCTGGAAGAATTTAGGAGGCCAAAGCTCAGCTTAGGAACCCTGACCTCTGTACTCTATCTTTGGGGAACTGGTATAGGGCCCCTGCTTTGACCTCTGGCTCCTCAATTTAGGAACTTCCTGTGCTAGAACAGCCAAGGCCCTCTTGGACTGCTGGGCACAACATTCCAAAAGTAGTGCCAGGTAAAGCACTTCGTAGGGCAGTGGCATCAGAATCTATCCACATTTGCATGTGCCAGTTGCAGCTGCAGCTGCAGCTGCAGCGTGATGGGATACACACTCCCTGGCTATGGCAGGGCGCTAGCAGGTGCTGGCATGCTGGCTTCCATGTGGGCATTTGTAGCAAGAGTATGGCTCAGCAAGGACAGAGGGGCTCCCCCGCGGGTGGCGGTGTTTGCCTCTCTGTGCATGTTCTTTTTTTTTTTTTTTTTTTTTTTTTGAGACGGAGTCTCGCTCTGTCGCCCAGGCTGCAGGCTGGAGTGCAGTGGCGGGATCTCGGCTCACTGCAAGCTCCGCCTCCTGGGTTCACACCATTCTCCTGCCTCAGCCTCCCAAGTAGCTGGGACTACAGGTGCCCACCACCACGCCCGGCTAATGTTCTTGCAGCTTGCAATGGCCACTCAGGGTGAGGGTTGTCTGCTTTTATCCATGCCTTGTATCATGCTAGTGGCAGTTTCAGCACACGGGTGGGGTGCTGGTGGTTATGGGTCTGACGGGGTCTGACAACAATGGCAGTGCAGCAAGGGGAGGGGTATGGGGTGCACTCACTCAAGCAGCAGTGACATGGCAGGGTGCACATTCACATCCATGTTGGTGGAGAAGGAAATGTCAGGCCTTCCTATGCACACACACACCAGCAAAGTGATGGGGGGGTGGCTGTGGGTGAGTGCATGTAGCATAGAGAGGCTGCAGTGGGAGAAAGATGCTGGTGGGTCCCTTGTGGCTGTTCTGCCGGAGCACTCTGCCAGTCAGGCATGATCTGCTAGTCCAGGAGCCATGATGTAGGCACAGGAAGTACTTGGCGGCGGGGGGGTGCTGCACTGCAAGAAGCTGAGGGCTTGCTGGGACCCCGGGAGAGGCCAGCAGACTGAGAGATGCTCAAGTTTTACTGGCCCGGTCTGATGGGCAAGATCGTCCTGCTGAGTTCAGGTCTGATACTTTTCCTAGGGCTAAAGTCTCCTATGGAAGCAAGTCTAGCCTAAGGGGATGGTGACCCCGGCTGCGCTCCACTACAGGCACCCCAACACCAAACACTCTGGCTCTGCTGCAGCTGGAGTTTTGCCTCTATCACTTCTCTGAACAGCTCTACCTGAGAATTCAAGTGTATATGGTGGTCAAGGGGTTTCCACCTGTTGGGATTCCAGAGGCCCACGGTGGCTTGCCTGCTCAACTCACCCCTGCCCCAGGAGTTGCTGCGGGCCAGGAATGAGTCATGGTGTGTGATAGCCTGATGCATGGTTCCCAGCTTCCTCCCACTTCAGCCCAGCATCTTTGTCTTCCCTCTGTTCGCTCTCAATTCCTTCCCTCTGAAGATCTGCTAGGGGTGCACCAGTCTTCCCAATGCCCAGTTTCTGGGTGGGAGAGGTTCCTTCTGGCTGCTTCCAGTCAGCCATTTTGCTCCCTCTAAAAATTACACTCTCATATGCTGGAATGTATGCTTATGTTCATGTACCAGTTATCAGGACATGTAAGTAAAATATATTTTAATTGATATACATTCAAAACAAATTATAATTTCTATATAAAGCATGATATAGGCAGCTCTTTTAAGTAAATTTCTTAAATTGCTAAAAAATTATACTAACCAGATATTTGTGTAATATATAATTCAGAACATAATAAAGTCATGTTTAAAAGCTATATACAAAATAAAATTGTATTTTATTTTGTTTTTTAACTGAGGCTTGAGAAATTCCATTTAATCATTTATTTTTTAATTATTTTTCGATTGAGAAGTAAAAACTAAATATTTATGGTTATAACATGATGTTTTAATATATGTTTACATTGTGAAATGGATAAATCAAGCTAATTAACACATACATTGCTCACATAAAAATTTAAATTAGGGAATTTTTAATGATAAAAAATATTATTGAATATATTATGTATTAATATATTTCTCCAGTGTATTTAAAATGGGATGTGAATATATTTAAACATCCAAAGGAATGCAATTGTGATATTGAATACAATCACTGCTTGTTAGTGAACTCAGAGATTCAAACTATTGTCTGAGCTGGCCTTTTCTAGAGTACCTTGTTTTTATCATTCTAGTTGTTTTTTCTTCATTGATTCTTTTTTTAATGCCACTGTGCTATGTATCCTCAAACTGTCTACAGTAGAAAGATCAAATCCTTTGATTTAAACTGAATTTCTTTCTTTGATTTGTACTACTCAAAGAAATCTTTATTAATACACATATTTATTTATATATCTGTTACTTTATTTCAAAGATTTCATTATTTATTTTAGAAGTTTTAGACATTGACTTTCCTAAAAATTTCTGTTCAGATCTGTGTAGTTTGTTACTCTGAAACTCCTGGTGTAGAACCTGTTCTTCATATATGACTTATTTCATGGTTACATAAAAAGTATGAAAACAGTTATATATGCTTTTGGAATTAAGAAAATGAGATTGAGATGATCTCAGAGAAAGTATCCTCGGCATCATTGGTTATTAATGGTATCACCGACAATTGTTACGAACATCCTATGCCTTGAGCAGCTAGGAATTTTTTAGTTTAAGCCAATGAAAACCATGTGTCTTTGGACAACATCTTAATGTAGGAAAGTGAACTTCTTATCACAGTTTGACATTCATGAGAAATATCTGATAACCGTAAATCATAATGACTGACCATATGTCCAGTTATTTCTTCAAAATTTGTTTTATAGTTTCTGGAGCATGAATAAACAATAAATCTGGAGTTCAGTAAATTGTGAGCATAATAAAATATATAGCAATTTAAATCCAACAAAATTTTATATTCAGAGAAAAGTGGGAGAATCCAGTTTAAGGTTTCTGTTTAAAACGAGCAGTTAAATGTTTTTTTAAAGTCCTTATAGTCCACTGTTTATAGATACTTCTTTAGCCAAGAGTCCACTCTATAGCAGAGATTTCTGGTTATGAAAGTTCTAAAAACAAGAATAAAAATGAAAAAAGCAAAGGACAAAATGTATATTTTAGACTCCAAATCTCTTCTGACATAATTCTGCCAGCATGCTGCAAGACTAAAAATGTCGAGAGGAAAAGACACGGTGTTATCTCCTTTTTCAGAAAAGTTGCCATTTCTTTGTATTTCCTACAAATACATTTTTGATTATATAATAACAGCCAGTGCAAAAATAAGATGTTCCTTACAGCTAACTTTTCTAGAAAGTTTCTATTCATTAAACAAAAATATTTTAAAATCATGCAAGGTAAAAAGCATACAGGTGGGTAGTGTGTTTGCTAGTAGCAGATGCAGCCCTTAAAAATGGCAGATCCACAATAAACTGCAGTTGGAAAGGCAGAGCTGGTAACATATAACACATTTACCTGGGACTTATTTCCCCATATAAAGTAAGTAGTACATATAAATTATTTTCACATATAAAGTAGCAGCAGTGTCAGCAGTCCCTCAAACATAAAGGATCCTCATAGAGATTGTGATGAACAGCATCAGGCAGTGTGGTCTCTTTTCATATTGGAAACCAGTATATTTTAGCTCTGCCATATCTGTAGGACTTAGTTCCATATTCAGAATCCTTTTAAAGCTGTGAAGCATTCTCTTGATTTTTCTATTATAGTTCTCCCATCAAACAACCCCACATAGCTAAAGCCCAAAGGAATCTGAGTCTTTATGTCAAGATTAACTTGTGCTCATCCAGAAAGTAGAACTACAGGACAGGCTTTGAAATAGTCTTTCAGGAGTTATTACATGTTGATACTGGTTTCCTGGAGGCACAAGCTCAGGAGGAAAAGCAGTTGGTGTTTGATGGTTTTATAAGTGACACTGAGCTCTAATTTGAATGAGCCAGAGGTAGCATATCAACTTGCTCTAGGCACATCAGATATGCAGACGTGAACCCACCATGACTGTCAGCAGAACAGTGAAGAGGGCCTTCTGACTCACCAACAGGGCTTTGCTAGCATGCATTGTATTGCAGATAATCATCCAAATTTTGGTAAGAATGATGGAATCACTAGGAACTCCCTACTCCTACTTCCATTTAACAAGTATTGCAGAACGATTTTTCAGTTAGTTCCTACCACAAAAGCCCTCTCACTAGCAGAGATGCATTCCAGAAAGAGAGCTTAGAAGGGTGAAAGGTGCAACACCATTAAAATATGCTGCAAAATACATGTTTGTAGTCTCCAAGGTTGTCAGATGAAAGACTTTGAGTTAAATTTCCATTAAGGCAGAGCTTGGTAACACCATTATCTGAGAGAGCCATTTAGATGATGTGATCTGATATAGTAGAGCCGAATGCAATTCCAGCAGAAGAAATGTGCTTTCTGCAGTGTGCAACAGCCATAAGCTGGGCTGGGTTCCTCCAGCAGAGGCAACTGGCTTGGCTGAAGAATGGACTTAATGTGCAAATTGGGTGTGCTGATCAGAGATAGAACTGTTTAGCCGGCTCATTCCTCAGCACAGTAATATAGTCTTAGAAAAAGCATCACTTCAATTTGGAATGAAACTAAAAGTTTTTGTGTTTGCAGTGTTTTCACACTGCAATGCTGAGTCTCTCCCTGTCTCAGTCAATTCTACTTCTTATGCTCCTCATTGCAAACAAGGAAAACAACAAAAACAATCCCACATATGATTTATAGTGGTTATGAATCTTTTTAGCACATGTGATATGCTCAATTTTATTCTAGCAACTTGTAAATAAATAAATGAATATACAAGTGGGTAAATGAATGAATGAGTGAATGAAAATATCCCAAATACTTTGATGTTGCTATTCACCTGCCCTAAATCTCAAGGTCTGACCTGAAAGGTTTGTGCATTTTCCCAAAGCATCTAATGCTTCCCTTGCAACAGAATCCAAAGAAGGGCATTTGCCTGTAGCAAATACTAAATCAATATGCTCTGACTCATTTTTGTAACCCTTATTGTCCTCCTTTATGCATCTTATTTTCAGTTGTATCCTTAAGGTAGTTTTTCTTCTATGCTCCAATAAGTACATCCTATATAACCCATCACCACTTTCTTAACACTTTCCTCAATGTACTGTAACCATGGGTTTCTTTGTTCCTTTTTCTGCTAGAATTAAAAAATTCAGAGGTCAGAGATTATTTATTTTTGTACATTTTGACTGTCACATAAAAGCTGCCCAGTAAATATTTCTTGAATGAAAATTGAAAGACAAATCTAAGCATAGATACATAATAGCTTGACTGGGAACTGGAAATTTCAGAGTGCATTTGTTTTGTTCATTGAAAAGAAGAGCAATGGGCAGCACCACTTAATTAATCAGTATAGATTTATTACTGTGCATGCTCTACAGAGACTAGCAACAGGCTAAGCCCCAGGTGCAGGGCAATGAGTTGGCTGATTTTCTCCTGCTCCAATGTTAGCCCATCATCCTTCTTATCCCAAAAGGGAGGCTAATAAATTATGATAGTATGACAGCTACTTCTGCCCACTGTTAAGCATGTCATAAGTTGTTACATCATAGCTATATTGAATAAAAACCTCTGTAGTTTTAAAATGTTATAAAATCTGAATAAACACACACTTTTTAGGAGTTATTTTTGTATAAGCAGAGCTGTTTTAATTGTGAAAGAGAATGTGATATGAGTGACTCAAAAATAAAATCTTATATCAGAATAACTCCCTCAGTGACCCTATCTAAAACTGTGACCTAAATATTCAACTTAAATTAGAAAAATAAGGTTTAAATGCAAGTGATATAAGAAAGAGCTAATGATGTGTGACATTATCAGTCCCACCTATCTAAGCTTAAATTATGAACAAAGACATACAAGGTTGAAAGGGATATTAGAGATGACAACACTGAAATACGAGCAAGTAGAATCGTATTTTTCATTGCCACATGATATTGAGGAACAGATAAGACTACAACACAAATATGTTAATATCTAATAAAAAAATTTATCCAAGCTAAGCACAAACACAGAATAGGAAAATATATGTGGGATGTAGAATCAGAATGTCCTAGCTCTTATGCTAGGTGGCTCATTTACTGCCTGTGTAATATAAAATTTCTGAGCCATAGTTTTCTCACCTATACTATAAAGATATATTCAACTTCAAAATATTTATAAATATTAAATAAGATAATTTATATGAATTTTATATAAAAAAGCATACATATACATATGTATATGTATGTATGTATATATGTATATGTGTCTGCATAATTCAGAAATTATAAAAAAATATTATATATTATAATTTCTGAATTATGTATGCATATGCACATATACATACAAACATATATGTGTGTACATACAAATTCTATGGAAATATAAATACATATATACATACACACACACACACATATATATGGTATTATAATGTCTGAAGCCAAATTATATGAAACCAATTTTTCCCTTCTTAAAATATTGCCTTCAGTGTTGTCTTTTGTATAAAAAATATAACAGTCTATTTATTTAACAAATTCCTTCATAAACATGAATTTCAGTGATTTGGTAAGTTACTTATTATTAATAAGCCCTATATCCTTTCTCTGTAAAAATTTAATTATAATATTTTCTCCTTCAGTATTCGATATTGTTTGGTTGTGTCCCCACCCATATCTCATCTCGAATTGTAGTTCCCATAATCCCCACGTGTCATGGGAGGGACCTGGCAAAACGTAATTTAATCATGAGTGAGGTTATCCTTATACTGTTCTCATGATAGTGAGTGAGTTCTCATGAGATATGATGGTTTTATAAGGAACTTTTGCCCGTTTTGCTCAGCATTTCTCTCTCCTGCCACCATATAAAGAAGTATGTGTTTGCTTCCCCTTCCACCAGGATTGTAAGTTTCCTGAGGCCTCCCCAGCCATGCTGAACTGTGTGTCAGCTAAATCTCTTTCCTTTATAAATTACCGAGTCTGGGGTATGTCTTTATTAGCAGAATGAGAACAGATTAATACAGTATTTTTATAAGAATTAAATAATGTTGTGCACAAAAAATATACCTAGGATTTGTCTAGTGAATAGTAAAGGCTAACCAAATATTAGGCTTCTTCCTATTCCTTTTGTTTTTGAATTTGTGGCTGTTGATTTTCATTGTGGTGATAGCCTCAAGCTTTTCCAACTTTCAGCGTGATTATTTTGTATAGCTCAGAGAGGAAGCGTTTATCCCATTTTATGGGTATTTGGTGTCTAAGGTCAGACTCTACATGGAGAAAGTAGTAATCAATCTGAAGAATCTTAAGCAGTAAAGAAATGTCAGTATAATGGGTTACTGAAGCCCTCTGTGCACAATGATCTGGATGGCATTTCGCTGTCTCCTGCCTCTATCATTTTCCTCTCGAAAGAAGTCCATCTAACTGCAATTAGAATAAAGATAGGGATAAGGATGATGAATAATCTTAACTGCTTCCTGCTGACAGAGTGTGCTGTTTTGGAAAAATAGCAGTCAGATCTCCCTCAGAGGCTCATCTAAAGGTCCCCATAAAAAGGGGGTCATTGTTTTGAGGCTTCAGTTGCATGAACGCTTGGTATTCAATGGCCTGAAGGTGAGAAGGGATAAACTGGGTTGTTGAAACACATGTGTCAAAAGGAAACAAGGAGGTAAGGACAGCTAAAAAGTCCAGAGGCTGCTGACATACCCAGGTAACTGGTAGCTATAGTTATGCTTGCTAAGATTAGGTTATATGGTGCTTAGCTTTGGTTAGCTCTCTTGGTCTTACTTTCTGCCCCCCTCCACAACTCCCCCCAAAAAACTCTCCTGGTTATTGGCACCCTATTTAATCCCATCACCCGACACTATTTACAGGACAATTGCTGAGAACTAGAATACTGATCCAGATTTGTATATTGCCCATCCCTTCTCTTTCTTCTGAGCTGCAGCCAGAGATCACTGGTTGGTTCACAGGAATAAGCAGGGTTAGTTTAAAATGTAGGATAAAAACGAAAAAACAACAAATGAGTCTAGAATTTAATGACAAATGTATGATAAGGTTGGAACATATTTGTCTCTTGAGTGCTCATTTTTGTTCAAAACACATCCTGATAGTACTGGGTTGCTTGCAAAATAAACTTTAGTCTTACACTTGGCCTGGTTATTTGCATAAAATGCAGCAAGACTAATTATTTTTAAGTAGGCTTTTTAAATTGGCTTTGATGGAAGTTTGTTTCTCAAGCAATCTCAGACAGAACTTCTTAAAGCCAAGCCCAGCCATGGGTTTGTACCTGCAAATACCTATAAGTTGTGTGAATTCCACTCTTCTCAAGCTCCCAAGAATATGGGGTTCCCGGGCCTGTTAAAAAGTGACATTCTTAACTCACTGCCAGTTAGGAAACCTGTACGGGTACTGTGTAGACAAAGTATGAAGCCAGTTTTCCCAAGGGGCTTTTATCAGCTCTGCAAGTCGAGCTTGACACCTTAAAGTGAAGCAAACCCTTCCAGTCAAAGTCTTGACAGATAGTTTCTCTAATTGGGTACTGTTACAAAAGAAAATGGATTCTTATTGCACTGATGCAAATAACCATATTGCCATAAGTTAAGAATACTCACAGATAGTTTACAAATTCTAGAGAAACCAGACAAAAAGAAACAAACATGCTGAAAATCTTGTTCACAGGAGTCCACCTTACTCACTTATTAAAGACTGTAAATAGCTCAAAATAAAAGTTTCTTTGACTCTGAAAGACAAAACCAACATCAGAAATGTTTTAAGAAAAAGTTAAAAAAGATTACTTCAGTTTTCTATTTGTTGATTGTTCTTGATAATTGTGAATATATCAGCCCCTCATGAGTCTTGTAAGTTTTTTCTTTATTCCAATGTCACAATCTCCAAAGTTGTCAGAAACCTGCATTTGAGAGCCACTGTCAAAGTACTATGGTTGATTATAAACCATCTTTTGAAAAGGATCAAAACAAGACAATTGCCTATAAATAAGAAAATGTCCAGAGTAGTTACAATCAAATACATGATTGACCGAGTAATTTGGTTATCTCTGTGGTTTATAATAACATAACACCCTTAATTGTGATTAATAGCATACATTCAGACTTCAAACCTGAGAAATTCCATGCAATTTTGGAATATATATGACTATTATTCACTAAAATATAACCTGAAGAAGATTAAACATCATTTTGGCAATCCCACATACCTACACATTTCAGGTAATCCTGTTTCCCTCTCTTCTGGATGCTCCAGGGGCCTTCCATAGCATCCAAAAGCTAGGGGTCATGAAAGACAATGCTGAAGCTGAAATTTGATTTGGGGGAGACTGTTAAATATGCTAGAGGATTAAAACACTTGATTTTATGAAATAGAATTCCAGATTGCCATAAGTTTTTTGTTGTGCCAAAATGACTCAAACATTTTAAAACAAGGGAAAAACCTTTTCTCATTAACAGGAAATACTTAGCTTTCCAATTTGTCTCCTGTCTTCTCTTTCTTTTCCTTGGCAGGGTATCCCCAAGACAAATAGAAATCTTCCATTATCCTATATTATTACATGAAAATCTTGTACAAGGGAAATAAATCCAAATTTTTCTCTTACATTTGTTTAATATATCAGCCCAAATTTTCTTTTCTTTTTTCTTTTTTTTTTTTTGAGATGGAATCTCACTCTGTCACCAGGCTGGAGTGCAGTGGTGCAATCTTGGCTCACTGCAACCTCCAACTTCCTGGTTCAAGTGATTCTCCTGCCTCAGCCTCCCAAGTAGCTGGGGCTACAGGCATGTGCCACCGCACCCAGCTAATTTTTGCACTTTTAGTAGAGACATTATTTCACCATGTTGGCCAGGATGGTCTCAATCTCCTGACCTTGTGATCTGTCCACCTTGGCCTCCCAAAGTGCTGGGATTACAGGCATGATCCACTATGCCTGGCCCATCAATCCTAATTTTCTAGTAAAACCTTATAGACAATTCTATCCAATCTTAACCAGTTTGACCATGAGGCAAGATTCTTATCAATCCTTTTAACTCTTTACAAATTTTACTAAAGAGTAGATTAATGCCTTAAGGAAA
The DNA here is from genome assembly GCF_000001405.40 of Homo sapiens. Taxonomy (NCBI): domain Eukaryota; kingdom Metazoa; phylum Chordata; class Mammalia; order Primates; family Hominidae; genus Homo; species Homo sapiens. Next base: position 144,790 of record NW_009646200.1, read on the forward strand.
ACTTCTGCTCCTATTTCAATGCCCAATTTACAGAAAAACCATATAATACCCTTTTTAATTTAGTGTTCACACACATAATTTTTTGTGCAAGATTAAATTTAGAAACCTTCCATAACTTGCTTAAACCTTTAGCTTTATCTTATCTAATTTAAAACAATCCTTTAACCCTAGGCAAAAATTTACATTTCCATGCCTTCTTATAATCTTTTTTTCTAAAAGCATATTTTATTCTTACACACCTTGCATGTAAATCTATTTTTTCAGTGCTCTCAATTACATGTTACAATTTTTTAACTTTAGCATTTTTTTAACTTTAATGTAAAATCTGGTAAGTTGTTTTCATTACACACTAGGTGCCAATAAACTTTGACTGCTTCCAGCATATTTAAGGGAGTGGTTAATTCCATATGTCCTCAGGCCTTACGAATTGTGAAGCAGGCAGGTGAAACAATTCTCAACAGCTAAAGAAGCAGTTTATAACCTAAAAACATTTAGTAAACCTAGTATCTAACCCATATAATTTAGGCCACCTACTTACATTGTAATGACATTTGTGTTTTACCAATAATCTTTAAGACTGTTTTTATTTCTCAAAGATTAAAGTCATATGAACTAAAAAGCATTACAGCTTGTATTTTTTCCTCAAAAATATTTGACCTAAGCACTTATTTTTATTTAGGACAATTAATAAGAACTCTTTTTTATAGACATTACACACAACACATATGTAACTACACAGACAGAAGAAGATACAATAGTTATAAAATTTTTCATTTGTCAATCTCTTAATAGGATTATTGGTCTCTGGGTGGGGCTCTTTAAGAGCAGACCTAGGAGATAGTGCAGTTTCTAGGGCCTAATAAACAGGCATAGCTGGAAGACAAAAACAGATTTTGAGAGAGATCTATCTGCCTCTAATTCCTGGGGTTCCATGAGGAAAAGAGAAGTTTCTCCCAAAATGGAATTCATGGCACTTTTTTGTTTTTCCCAAGGAGTCCCAGGGCATTAGAAGTTATCTTAGGGCCTCTCCTGCATGCATTAATAATGGAAAGGCAAAGTGGAGAGAAGTAATTTAATCTACTGAGAAAGAAAAAAAAACAACTTTTTCCAGCAAAGCAAGGTCCAAGAAGAGAAAAGGATAAAGTCCTTTCAAATATACCTGTAACTTGAATATCCACTTTTAATTAAGCTGAGCACTCTTTAAGAAAGTCCTTTTCAATCCCATATTACCCAACTTTAATTATGCCAAGCAGCCAGTATTTCTGGCTTTTGAACGTTATCAGCAGTAACCTTACAGGTGAAACCAACAAGCCTCAATTAAGAAACCAAAAGCACACTAGATTGTCTACAGCTTAAGACCAACCCCATAAATCCTTTTTCATTAATCAAAACTTTACAGAGAATATAAACAGTGATTCTTATCATTCCTTTTACCACTCTGCCCAAGGAGAGAGAGGTTAAAATTTTGACTGGTAAAAAAATATTTTACCCATTTGCTGGCATGTCATGCTTCCCCCAAGCTCAATTCTAAGCAAACTAGTTTAAGGTTTCAGATATTAACTTTTCTCAGTTTGAAGGATGCATCCAAGCAGAGTGTCCCTTGGTATGGGGACACACCCATCTGTGAAGAGAGGACAAAGGAGGAAAAAGGCATTTCTTTTTCAAAGAAGGCTTAGGGGTTCAGGATACATTCAAAAGGGGGATGGACTGAAGATGAACAGGTACTCAGAAAAAGGGGAGCCAGGCATCCCTGGGGTACATGAGGGATAGAAAGAAAAAGCATTGTCTTTCCTTCTTTTGTCCTTATATCCCCGAGTCCTGGCAACCTTGACAAGGTTTCACATGCCGCTTTCACCCATGATAACGGGGGTCTAAGGGGTGAGATTATCCATTCTTACCTACATGCTGCCTTTCCCTCTGCTGTCAGTAGCCTTTGAATTTCCTAGACCTCATTTATGCCATGGATAATAGCAAGACATTTACCCATGAAACAAGAGGCTTGGCTTAATTGAAAGAAATTAGTCACGCTCACCTGTGCTCTGTGCTGCACCTTTTAACTTTCATTGATATCTGCTTCTGGATCCCTCAGATCCAGTTTTTTGTTTGTTTGGTTGTTTTTTACCCCTAGGGCTTCAATCGAAGCTTGGAATTGAGTTTGGGATGAAAGAACTGCCTCAGGGGGTGCATGGACTCATCAAGTCCCAGGTTTCCCTCATCTGACTGACTGTTGCCTTATTATCATAAGCTGAATGCTAAGGTGAAGCTGTGGAACTGGGTGTTTCTCAAACAAGGAGGGGAAAAAGTCTGTCCTGTGAATTGGGGTCCTGGTGTAATAAGATGCCTTCCAAAAGGAAAAAAAATCCTTGGCATACTGAACCCCCTCTACTCACAGGGCTCTTTTATTAGGTTGGTGCAAAAGCAACTGCAGTCCCCACCATTCTAAGTAATGGCAAAAACCACAATTACTTTCTCACCAACTAACCAACTCCTGATTTGGTAGAGAAAAAGAAAAAAAATAACAGCTTAAATACAAGGCTGTGCTAACTGCTGATAGGGTAGAGAAAAGAAAAAAAAAAGCTTAAATATAGAGCTGGGTTAACTACTGACAGAGTGGAGAAAAAAAAAAGATGCCTGGGGAAGAAACCTCTTATTCTTGTGCAAATAGGTTTCTCCAATAGGGAGATAAGCTTTTAATTGCTGTCAGATGGAGCTGGACCCCTTGACCTGGGGAGGGGAACACTTCATGGATGCATGGTGGGAAATGTGGGCCAGCTGGCCAAGTGAGGTCTGGGTCCCTGAGACCACCATAGGGCCCAGGCAGTGGCTGTGACTCAGTCCATCCTAGTGTGGGTGTTGGACACCATATGCATATGCGGCAGACATGAACATGCACCCCAGCTGGGAGGGAACGGTGTGGTGGGGAGCTGCCATTTGCCTATCTGTCCAAGTGCATGCCTGTGGCATTGGGGTGGGGCCAAAACACCCCCAATATTGTAAAAGAAAAAATAGGTTCCATTACAGTCACAAAATATAAAAGAAGGGAAATTCCATAGAAAAAACTGGGTTGGACCAAGGCTGACATTCCTGACTCCTGAGAGTGACGGAATGGTGGGGGCAGTTTCCTCTGCTTCCAGGAAATGTCCAAGGATGAGAAAGCTCAGAAACAAAAGTGAAAGAGGTTTGGGTGTCCTCATTTTACTCACCCGTCCTCATGTCCTCATCCACGCTGCCAAAGTGATGCAGGATTTTTGCTCCTTAGTTCAGCTAAAATCTGAGCTCTTGTCTCATGACCAGGAAAAATTAAGCATGCAGACACATTGAAAGGTGAGGAGAGAAGAATTTATTAAACAAAAGGAAAGCTCTCAACAAAAATAGGGGTCCTGCACACAGGTTTTCCAGCTCAGAAAACTGAATACCAGGCCACCACACATGAGCTAAAGAGGCCAGGCTCCTCTCCAGCATAAGGCACAAGTTTCTGGTGGCTCCACCCCATTCTTCCAGTGCGCATGTGAACCTTTAGTGTGAGCCACTCCACATTGATTTATTTCCCTTACTGCACATGTGTTAAGGATGGAATTTTTCTTTTTCTTTTTTTTTTTTTTTTTTTTTGAGACAGAGTCTCGCTCTGTAGCCCAGGCTGGAGTGCTGCAGTGGTGTGATCTCGGCTCACAACAACCTCCGCCTCCCGGGTCCCTGTTCAAGCAATTCTACTGCCTCAGCCTCCTGAGTAGCTGGAATTACAGGCATATGCCACCATGCCCAGCTAATTTTTGTGTTTTTAGTAGAGATGGGGTCTCACCATGTTGGCCAAGCTGGTCTTGAACTCCTGACCTTGTGATCCGCCCACCTCGGCCTCCTAAAGTGTTGGGATTACAGGCGTGAGCCAGCGCGCCCAGCTCTGGAATTTTTCATCATGGGCATGTTTAGGTAAGCCCCCCGTGACTAGACACCATGACTAGACAGCATTTGACTGTCTCCTGCCTCTATCGATAGCATAAGAGACTTCAGTGTAAGAGCTGTTGTGCATTATGTGGTCATTGACTTATCCAGATACAAAGGAGCTGGAAGATGTTTTCCTGTGAGTCCACTGGGGCAATTAAACTATGTAAGAAACACACAACATTGTATCTGCCAGAAACTGCCTTTCCTGTAACTAAAGATTATTTTATAGTAACTATTTTATAGTGGCACCACCTAGTTGCAAGAGCTCTGAGAAATGTTATTTTCTAATGCAGCCAAGAAGGAAAGGAAACCATTTAATGAACATACAGTGTTGCATCCCCAAAGTAATGGATACGGCAAGGACTTCTCTTTCTGAGAAAGTAGCTACTCATAAAAACACCAGAAATTAAGTACAAGTAAATATACTTCTGCCAGCTATGAAGAAACAGGGATTGCATTGGGACAGGCAACCAGCAGTACCTGCTAATCAAAGCAATACTAAATTTTTGGGTATTCCCCAACAAGCTGTCCTATTTCAATTCTGCCACATTTGATATACACTGTATTGTTTATTTGGAATGTCACTCCCTTCTTTGCTGACTGGCAAGTCCTGAATCACCCTTCAAAAGTTCATCCATCAAAACCTCTATTAAGACCTACCTCCCTAAAATACACAACGCATGTACCAACTTTACCATTCAGTTTACACTAAACTTTATTATATTGTTTGGTTATCTGGATTTTATTATCTGCCCTGAGCAAACAATTTTTTTCATTTATTTGTTCCTTCTTCTTTGAACTTTTAGTACTAGCATAGGTCCTGGCATGTAACAGATGCACAATTAATATCTGTTTCTCTTTTAAATTTTATTTGAATTTAGTAGCCAGATTACTGACCAACTTTCCCTTTCAATCCATTGGTCCAAATAAACATAAAAGAACATTTTATAAAAGGACTATAACTAATGTCCTTTCTAGAAAAAATCTCTACCACATGAATTAAGATGATTAGAGGATATGTGCCTCTTGTATTTAGGTAGAAAAGAAAAGACAGCATTGTAGCAGGAAATAAGTGGTTGGAAGATTAGGGAATGACTGAGCCAAGGTAAATTTTGAAAACATAATTTTCAATTGAATTGTAAATTTAGCTACCACTTACACAAAAACAGAAAGGACAAAAGAATCATTGTGACATATTCTACAAGCCCACTTAATACATTACAGATTGCAACAAGCTTCTCTTCTTATTTTTGAGAGTTTTGGACTTTTTGTCCTCAGATCATTAGTTGTTTATATTAATTTTAAACCCTTTCGATAGTACACAAAATTTTAAAAAATCTGCATGTTGTGTTTGTAAATTCCTGAGAAATTATAGCCTTCTGAAAAAAAAGTGAATTAGAAATATGACATATAATTCCTAATTACCTAGCCACGGTTTGATACTGTGCAGATTATGAGAAGTCAGCTTTTAAAAGTAATTATGCTTATTTGATCTATGTAAAATAATGGAGCAGTTGAAAACTCTATTTTGTTTTCTTAGAAAAATATTGTTTATGTTTTTGTTGGACTAAAGTGTCACTTGTGCTGTTCAAATTAATACTGAATGCTACATTAGGTGTTTTGATATGATTTAAGGATGAAGAAAAATGATTATTTATATATATATACATTTATTTATTTTTCTAGGGACAAAAAACAATGAAAAATTATAGGCAGTAACACTTAAAATGAAAGTTACTAGTGATAGGTAATTTCTTTTCCTCTGATTTCCAAAAACCAACTGTAAAGTGACCATGTCATTTCCTATTTCTGTGTTTTCCCTCAATTTTGTCCATTGGATCCACAAATCCTCCCAAAACAGAATTGTTGCCATCACTCTCTGCATCAAATTACACTGTGAAGAAAATATACCAAGCAAGATCACTAATCTATGAACATAGTTTTATTTGACATGTTGCCATTTATTCTTATCTTGTGACATGGAATACAGAATATTACCTTGTAGTTTTCTGTGATAAATCCATAATATCAACATATATTATTGATCCTCACCCTCACCCATCCTTGGGCTTTATCACAATTCTAAATTTTAGTTCAGACTCCTTGTATCTTTCTTCTTGCTTGCTTGCTTTTTTTTTTTTTTTCACTTTTTTGCTCACTAAAATCAGTCTTTTATTGACTTACTTTAACACTTGTTTGCCTTCCCAAACCAAGGCCTCCTTTGCTTAGAACTAACTCCTGGTTCTCATCTTGTCCTTTATATAATAAAGTCAGTTACTCATAGTCAGTTACTCACAGTGATTTCTGTGGCATAGGTTCTTTGTTGGAGTACCTGTTCTTGAGCTTGAGTACAGTAGCAGTAGTCATACTTTTCAATCACTAACCCCCAAAACAATGATCAAAAGCCTTTTAGACTTTTTAAACTTTCCTAAATATTCACAATTCTTATGCTGATTAACTTACTGAAAAACAAAATAACTTTTGTTTATTTATTGATTACTTTCTTAAAATAAGATCGTAGAAATCAATTTTGTGGTCAAAGATACATAATTTGGGGACTTTCATGTAAGTTAGACAGTTGCCGTTCAGAAAGATTATGTTCACCTGTTCATCTGTATTTTCATCCCTCTTTTCTTTTTATGACTTTTCCAGTTAAATATATTTTTACAATATTGGATATTACTTTTCTAAGAACATACATATATCACAAAGAAAATGATGTAGCTATATTAGTAACACTCAAAATAATTTTAAGAAAAAAATTATTACTTCACAGGATATTAGTAATAAAAGACAACTTTAATTTACAGGTAAGTTACAAAAGTCATATATTTGTATTTGTTACATTAGAAATTTATAAAGTTGAAATTGATTAACTGGTTTACGAGGGGAATATTAACAGTTCATCATTAGTATATTGAGGAATTTTATTGTGTTAACTATCAGGTATTTTCAACATAATATTTGATACATAAAAATAATATATGTAATATCCATTAGTTAATAAACTGAAAATATCATATAAATTAAGAAACACACCAATCAGTCAATGACATAATTTGTAGCCTATATTTTTATTCTTCCCATTACTACAGTCAATTTGTAACTGTTACGTTTTTTGGAGTCAGAGTTAATATGTTCTATTTGGTGCCTGGATGAATAAACTATCAGTCACAGTTTACCTTCATATTTGAATGAACACAATAAATATTTATCTGACTGCCCGTGGGGATTACCTCGCCAGCCCTGCCATTGTACACAGTCACTGCAGACAAGATCTTAACTGCACCAAAAGCCATTAGCTACTTGGGGGCAAAAGAGTGGGATGGAAGGAGGGCTTGCAAACAACTGAGTAATAAAAAAGAGAGTTTGTATACTCTATAGCTGGCAGTGTCATTACTACAAATGGTAGAATAAAGGTAGGAGAAGTCATGATTAAGAGCAGGAACCAAGGTTCAGTGCAATAAGGCAAACTTCAGATAGTGATCTTAGCCCTGGATGCCCTGGCCAACAATCCACCCTTCTATACATTTTTACACTCTGTTGCACCGTTGCCAATAGTGTGGCTGTGTGGTCCAGGCAATGGCAGCAACAATTACTTGTTCAAGGAAGCACCTTTTGGCTAAATGAACTCTAGGAATTTCTTGCCTTATAGATATCCAAAATACAAATCCAGATCATGCTTAAAGCCACAAAACAAGGCTTCACACATACTTCTTGTCTACTTTGAAATTCCAAACATCTTTGATAATGACTAAGAGACTCATTTTGTATCTCAAAATACACCAGGCTGGATTGTTAAATAAGAAACTCACAGGATTTTTACCATCCTTTCCCCTTTCAGGCTATAGTCCTCATAGAGCACCATAATGATTATTTAATCAAGTTTAAATGTCATTAAATGAAATATGACTGATTAAATTCATCAAACATCAGGGAGGATTTATAGTAAACAATCCAACTCAATTTTTGATGTTTGAGTACTGACAGTGTCAAAGTACCACCATCTGGAGAAGTTGATAAAAAGCTCACACTCTGTTGGTGCCAGCAGTAAGTTATAACCATACAATCCTCCACCAGCCCCACCCAGCTCCTTATACCAGCCCTTATACCAGCTCCACTCCTTAACTACAATAAAACACTGAATCCTCATCTTTATTACCCTACCTATTAAGGCCTGCCTACCTACTGCAACACTCCCAATTCCCCTTTTTCTATTCTGCTTGTAAGAGGAGGAGTCTTATTTATCACATATACTCTTTATTTTTGTTCGTTTTTGTTAGATTTCAAGTTCAAGTAAGCAGTGACATTTTGTTCTGCATCGTGTTGTTCAGTGTGGTGTATTCATTATGAAAATAATGCCTGGAATAGTATTGTGCATAGTCAGTGCTCAAAAAATGTCTGCTGAATGCATCACCCTCATTATGTTTTTATTATTCACATCAACTTATTTAATACTTATTGAAGCAAATTGAAGGCTGGCAGCTTGTACCACCCATTCCTACTCTCTGACAATGGTATCTCTAGCCTGTCAATTTTCTGTACTGATAATTACAGGGTGGTCAATCACATCCTTCATTAGAACCTTTTACTATATTACCATCATAGATTCTTCAATATTATGTCTCAATTATAAAAATCTTACTTTCCTTCGTAAAAGCCTCTAATTTTTATTAGCTCATCATATTTTTACATTTCTTTGCTTAACTTGATTAAGTTTCTGGATGGTCTGAAATTAAATAACATTTTAAAATACTTTTAAATAAATATTATTTCTGGATTATGAAATTATTTTTTACTGATAAATTCAAAATAGAATTAATAAAATTGGATATTCTATACTGTATGCTATTGTGTCTATTTAAAATAAGTTAATTTTTAATCAATTTTGCAATATGTATTGTTGCAAATTTTCTTTTCAAACAGAGAAAACTTTTTTTATTTTTTAATTTTTTGAGACTGATTCTTGCTGCATTGCCCAGGCTGTACTAGAGTGGCATGATCTCAGCTCTGTGCAACCTCCACCTTCCGGGTTCAAGCAATTCTTGTGCCTCAGCCTCCCAAGTAGCTGGGATTACAGGCCCCTGCCATCACACAGGGATAATTTTTGTATTTTTATTAGAGACTGGGTTTCACCATGTTGGCTAGGCTGGTCTCAAACTCCTGACCTCAAATGATCTGCCCTCCTTGGCCTCCCAAAGTGCTGGGATTACAGGCCTGAGCCAATGCGCCCGGCCCAAACAGAGAAAACTTTGAAAAATTGACTTCAAACAAATGGATTCAAATGTTTTATGTGATTAAAGATTTAATGTAGACATTGTACATTATGATGTAAGAAAAATTACAAAAGACAACCAATAAATAGGTCTCTAAGGATGAACACACAAAAAACATGTAGCAGGTTTTTATCTATGGCTTCAAAAATATGTATTTTTACTGCCATATCGTGAAATGTATTAACTTTCCTTATTTTGATTCTATTTTTGAACCAGCATTAAAATTTAAATTTGAGTTATTGTTTAGAAAATGGTACAAATATCACATCTATATTATTAATAATTACAAATATTACGTACTTCAATGATAAATACTTCACTTTTTCTTTTTTAACTTTTATTTTAAGTTCAGGGTTACATATGCAGATGTGTTACATAGGTAAACTTGTATCATGGGGTTTTGTTGTACAGATTATTTCATCATTCAGGTATTAAGCCTAGTACCTATTAGTTCTTTTGTATGATCCTCACCCTTTTCTCACCATACACCCTATGATACACCCCAGTGTGTGTTGTTCCCCTCGATGTGTGCATGTGTTCTCATCATTTAGCTTCACTTACAAATGAGAACATGCAGTATTTGGTTTTCTGTTTCTATGTTAGTTTGCTAAAGATAATGGCCTCCAGTTCCATCCATGTCCCTGCAAAGGACATGATCTCATTCTTTTTCATGAATGCATAGCAGTTCTCTTTTCCTGTGTCTTCTGTACTTTTCTAGAATTTCTTTTTGAATTTTATTACCTTATCTTCATTTTTTTATTAAGAGAATTCTCTACTATCTAAAATCAACCAGTGATTTCCAAAAGACCCTTATTTTATGATAGCAATCCCAAGTGAAATCTTGCTTATTAAAATCGAACGTTTTTTCTCATCCTATATAGTCACAGCTTAACTATTACTTGTGCTCAGCATAGTAGCTTGTGCTGTAACCCCAGAACTTTGGAAAGCCAAGGTGGGAGAACCAGATGAAGCCAAGAGTTTGAAGCCAGCCTGGACAACATAGCAATACCTCATCTCTTCTAAAAATAATTTGAAAAAATTATCTGGGTATGGTGGCATGAACCTGCAGGCCCAGCTACTCAGAAGGCTGAGGTGGGAGGATCAGTTGGGCCTAGATGGGCCAGATGTTGAAGCTGCAGTGAGTCGTGATTACGCCACTGCACTCCAGCTTAGGTGAAAGAGTGAGACATTGTCTCGTAAACAGGAAACAAAAACAAATAACGAAAACAACTGTTAATTCTATTTGCAATCAACCACTTCCATTACAACTAACTTCTAATGCCTCTGCAGTATCACTATATTTCAGAAATACAATGAACACATTAAATTTATTCTAATACAGTCATTTCATACAAGATAAAAAGGAATATATCATATAGTTTTTGGTTTAAGCCCTCTGATCTCCAAAAATATTTGTTCCCAATTACAAAATGCAGATTGGTAAGAAGATTGACTATTAACAAAGAGTAAAGGTTATAAACCAGTGATTTTCAAAAGGTGATTTCTGGACCAACAACATTAGCATTATTTGGGAATTTGTTAGAAATGCAAATTTGGTCCCTCAATCTGGACTTACTCTCAGAATCTCTGGTGTGAGATTCAGCTTTCTCTGTTTCAACAGGTCCTCCAAGTTCTTTTTATGAGCATGTAATTTGGAGAACCACTGCTGCAGAGAAAGACACTTCTGAGTTAACGTTATAGTATTCTTCAAGAATAAGTATTAAACTTCTTGATCGATAAATGCAAACAAAAATGCTGACAATTCTTAAGACATTTCTAATATGACTTTACCAATAATTTTAAAATCAGACTACTTACTAAAGATTTTACTTTTGTCACATGAACTTGAAAAGCCTTTGGGCTTATTATTTAACTTATGAGTACTCTTTAAATTTTAGCCATTTCAGTATCTTGTGGCCAATACACATAACAAAATATATGTACGTACACATAGACACACAAAAAAAACAAAGATCCTATAGTTTTACTTCAGAATTCTAGCCATGAGATATTAATACAAACTCTTCAGTTTGCAACAACAAAAACAAAATGGTTGGATCCAAACTGTGGTTTTTATTTAAGTAGAAAAGTAACAGCAGATTTAAAGCAGGCAGAAAAGAAAATAGAGAAGTAGAGAGCTTAAGAATGCTATAGTTGCAGGTTAACCTTTGGGCTCTGAATTTCTCCTTGATTTAATTTGTCTATCAGTTTAAAATGCGCACAAAAAGACCATAATATGTTCATGTTACAGAAACACTTGCAAGTAAAGGCACCATAAAACCAATAGGATGCCTGACAGGGGTTACTCTCATTGTCTTTCCTTATTCTCAGATTATTTGTTTCTGACTTGTTTTTTCTTAAAAGGAATAACTGAACTGTGACCTAGGGTTTAGTGTAGTGGATTGAAGTGTGCTGATTGTGGGCAGGACTCCATAGTGTGTCACCACTGAGTCATTTCCACCCTCTTATGTGTGGCAGTTTCTCCAGAGGTCTAACAGCTCCAAAGGGCTCAAAACACAGGGAGACCAGCTCCTATATCTGTTTCCTGGATGAGCCTTTTTAAAACTAATTTTTTTGTGGGTTCCCTTTAGGCCCACTGCATGTTGCAATGAGTTAATACCACAGACACTCCCACTTGTCCACTAGTCACCCAAGGTGCCTTTTGGCTGAGAGAAGCAAAACGCACTTTCTCTTTGGAACTGAGGAAACTCAGTCTCTCATTTATCAATAAAAATGACAGTTCAGTTTTGCAAATGTGCAGAAAAGCCAATTGAGTTTAATTTGGGAAGAAAAATGCAGTGGAGAAGACCCTATAGAATGCACCTCTGAGTTGAAAACCAAACAGCATGTCAAAATTTGCCATAGGAGTTATAAAACTATAAACTCAACCCCCAACAGAATGATTTTTGGTTATATAATTTTTGATAAATAAGATATTAATTATTGCTGGTTTAATGAAAACAGCTAAATCTTGAGTTATTTGTAAAATGCCCATATATTTAACCTTAGTTTTCTACTTAGGTAAAAACCTTAAATTCATAGGCTATTAAAACCCATTTATGCCTAGTGTTCCATTATTGGAACACTAAGCATGTGGGAGTTATTTATATCCTACTACACAATGTCATCACAAACGTCTGATTGCAAAAATTCAAAAAACTGCAACCTCAGGCATAAAAGGGTTAAAATAGTTAGCAGTGAAATAACTTTAAATGGTGACTATCACAGTTTTCATAAATAATCTAGGGAAAGTATTAAATATATTAATCAGGTAGATGCAATGGAATAAATTCTCATAAACAAACATCATATAATTTAGAATCTAATATTATATTAAATAATAGATAGTTAAATGTCTGGGTGAATTTCTAATTTCTAATTTAATAATAATTGAAAACCTTTTTTTTTTTTTTTTTTTACCATCAGAGTGAACAGGCAACCTACAAAATGGCAGAAAATTTTCGCAACCTACTATCTGACAAAGGGCTAATATCCAGAATCTACAATGAACTCAAACAAATTTACAAGAAAAAAACAAACAACCCCATCAAAAAGTGGGCAAAGGACATGAACAGACACTTCTCAAAAGAAGACATTTATGCAGCCAAAAAACACATGAAAAAATGCTCACCATCACTGGCCATCAGAGAAATGCAAATCAAAACCACAATGAGATACCATCTCACACCAGTTAGAATGGCAATCATTAAAAAGTCAGGAAACGACAGGTGCTGGAGAGGATGTGGAGAAATAGGAACACTTTTACACTGTTGGTGGGACTGTAAACTAGTTCAACCATTGTGGAAGTCAGTGTGGCGATTCCTCAGGGATCTAGAACTAGAAATACCATTTGACCCAGACATCCCATTACTGGGTATATACCCAAAGGACTATAAATCATGCTGCTATAAAGGCACATGCACACGTATGTTTATTGAGGCACTATTCACAATAGCAAAGATTTGGAACCAACCCAAATGTCCAACAATGATAGACTGGATTAAGAAAATGTGGCACATATACACCATGGAATACTATGCAGCCATAAAAAATGATGAGTTCATGTCCTTTGTAGGGACATGGATGAAATTGGAAATCATCATTCTCAGTAAACTATCGCAAGGACAAAAAGCCAAACACTGCATGTTCTCACTCATAGGTGGGAATTGAACAATGAGAACACATGGACACAAGAAGGGGAACATCACACTTTGGGGACTGTTGTGGGGTGGGGGGAGGGGGGAGGGATAGCATTAGGAGATATATCTAATGCTAAATGACGAGTTAATGGGTGCAGCACACCAGCATGGCACATGTATACATATGTAACTAACCTGCACATTGTGCACATGTACCCTAAAACTTAAAGTATAATAATAATAAAATAAGTTAAAAAAAAATTCTGAAAAAAAAAACCATTTTTAAAAGTGTGTTCTTCTTAAAGGTAAATAATTTTTGTTTAGTTCAAAGGTTATTTAGAGGTTATGTATAAAACAAAGTAAAATGAACCAGGAAATAAGAGAGATATAAAGAAAGTTATAGCTATAAAGAGGTATTTTTGGCAAGAAAAGTTAAAAGTGATTTTATATGAGAAAAAATTTTGTATTGTGGATTTTTTGTCCTAAAATAAAAGAAATAGTTGTTCATGAAAGAAGAATATTTAACACAAATAAAGTCCAAGCATAATTTGAATAGTCTGTGTAAAAAATGAATTTATTTTTATTTATTTATTTTTATTTTATTTTATTTTATTTTTTATTTATTTATTTATGTATTTTTATTTTATTTTATTATTATACTTTAAGTTTTAGGGTACATGTGCACAATGTGCAGGTTAGTTACATATGTATACATGTGCCATGCTGGTGTGCTACACCCATTAATTCGTCATTTAGCATTAGGTATATCTCCTAATGCTATCCCTTCCCCCTCCCCCCACCCCACAACAGTCCCCAGAGTTTTTAAAAAGAGTTACCTAATTAAGTTTGCTGTTATCAAAAACATATTATAATAGTCTTTCTAGAAAATAGACTTCGATATTAAAATACAGTAATACAAAACTAAATATTTGATTAGAACAAGATTTTATTTAAAATATTGACTTATTCTTAATAATATAAATTTTTAGTTTTTAAATTTTATAATCTGTTTCTTTTAGAAATTCTTTAGATTAATATCTTAGAAGTTCAACTTCTACTGTACTCTTACTTCAGAAATTCCTCTCTTTTGAAAAGCCCTGAGATGGTAACTCTCTCCTCCACATCTTATCTCCTATAACTTTTTTTTAAATTAATAATGTAAAGTATTGGAGGGAATTTTTTGAAAACAGGTAAATGGAAAATCTTTTCCACCTGCCTTTTCTGTATGTCTGTTATATCTATATGTTTATATGTGTCAGGTAGAAGTGATATTTCACTACTAAACTATAGGAACAAGCTCTAAGCTATTGGCTTAAAGAAAGGTAAGTGCTTATCAGATTAACATCAGCTATCCCAGGTGCCTTTTAATTAGAATTACCTTGGTATTTTTTGGTAAGATTCATTTGGTAAATTTAATCTCAAAATTCTCTCCTGTAGCTAAAATTTTAAAGTCATGTTATGATAAATTAAGTAACCTCAGTTTTGTCACTGGGAATTGGGGTTACTAAGAGTTAAAAATTACAGGAGAGTAAAAGGTGTTTTTGGTGACATTTATAAAAACACAAGGATGTGGTTTTTGTGAAGGAAAATGTAATTTTTTTCCAGTTTAGAGACTAAGAGTCGCTTTAAAATAAATGGCAAATTATTTATTAAAACTAAATGTATAAGGAGAAAAATAAAAAGATGGGGAATGAGAAATCCGAACTCTTGAGTGACCACGTGGTCACCCACCTTCAGGGGCTGCAGCTGGGCTGTATTCAGTCATCAAATATGAAAGTTACCAGTGGAATTTATAGATGAATCATACCCATAGCCCCAGAGAGTTAGTTCACTGAATGCATAAGGAAATCCAAACAAATAATAAAAAAGCAAAATATTCAAACTTTTTTTTTTTTTTTTTTTGAGATGGAGTCTCCCTCTGTCGCCTGGGCTGGAGTGCAGTGGCGCTATCTCAGCTCACTGCATGCTTCGCCTCCCAGGTTCACGCCATTCTCCTGCCTCAGCCTCCCGAGTAGCTGGGACAACAGATGCCTGCCACCATGCCCGGCTAATTTTTTGTATTTTTAGTAGAGACGGGGTTTCACTGTGTTAGCCAGGATGGTCTCGATCTCCTGACCTCGTGATCCGCCCACCTCGGCCTCCCAAAGTGCTGGGATTACAGGCATGAGCCACCACGCCCAGCCCAAACTTTTATGTTTAGTAACTAATGCAGCCTAGCTTCAGCTCAAGATGAGTGACCACATGGTCACACAAGGATTAAGATTTCTCATTCCCAATCTTTTTATTTTTCTCTTTATTCATTTAGTTGTACTATATAATTTTCTTCTTTATTTTAAAATTATTGTTATTTGTAAATACCTGAAATGAAAGTGAAGGAGTCCTGGTTGAGCCTTAAGGCTAGACCAAGCTCAGATGTGGGTCTGTGTCAGCTCAGGGTACTAGCCTCAAAGCTATCTACCAAAATAACTGAAACCGGGGCAACAAAAAGTTACTTCTGAGACCTGTGTTTACCAAAAGAATAAGTCAATGTGGGTGGAGGACAAAACCAAGTAACTGTTCAAACCAGAGGGTATAATAAAAAGGAATTGTTCCATTTTGTAGATTGGGATTTGTATTAGTCTATTCTCATGCTGCTATCACAACATACTCAAGGCTGGGTAATTTATAAAGAAAATAAGTTTAATTGATTCACAGTTCTGCAGGGCTGGGGAAGCCTCAGGAAACTTACAATCATGGCGGAAGAGGAAGCGAACACATCCTTCTTCACATGGTGGCAGGAGAGAGAAGAATGAGAGCTGAGCAAAGGAGGAAACCCCTTAAGAAACCATCAGATCTCATGAGAACTTATTCACTATCATGAGAATAGCATGTGGGAGATCAGTCCCATGATTTCATTATCTCCATCTGATCCCACCTTTGACATGTGGGGATTATTATAATTCAAGGTGAGATTTGGGTGGGGACATAAAGCCTATTAGTATTATCATCTTTCTGAGCCTGAGTCCCTTGGTTCAACCACCTGCTGGGAACCCAAATTCTTTTTCACTAAAATGGGTAAAATGGTCTAGTGGTAGAAAAGTTCCCTGGGATCAGAACATAGAAATGTATAGATTGTTACAATTATAAAATTTGAGATGCTTAAAAAACATTCTTTATGCAAGGTAGTTGTGATTCCTTTACCTAAATGTGTTCTAAAAGTGGGTATTTTACCTTACTGGGGGATGTCCCCCTATCTTGTAGTATAAAACTGAAGGCATGTAGATCTTCCCTTTGAGAAATGTTAATTATACACACTAAATGAGATCTAGTAAGATTGCCTGAATCTACAGAATATAGGGTAAAAGCTGAAGTGCTAGTCAGGACAAATCCTCCACTTCAGAGCCCTTTGTGGACCTTTTATTGTGACTTATAGCAAAAAACTGTGAGTACTTCCCAATGGCAATTACCAGAGTAGAGAATTTCAATTTGAGAGATATTTACTACCTTGTTGTGGAATGTTACCTGAAGCGATCCTTATGCTAATGAAAATCACGGTGTCTAAAAGAGTTCCATGATAAAATAAAAATGGTTTACTTAGGATCTTGCAACCTGGGGTACAAGGAGGAGATACTCAAAAGCAGGGAGCCTCTTTTTTTCCCCTAAGACTTACTCTAACTATGTGACAAGCTTCTAGGTTCCTACAGTGCCTGATAAAGAGATCTCATGTAACAAGAGCTGCTTAGCATGTGAATGGCAGTTCCAAAGGCAGACATTTTGTTTGAGAGTCTTCTGCTTTTGTTAAAGGGGAGTTAAGGAAATTCTTTTCTTTGGAGTAACTTATAGTTTACAGCATTTGGGCAAGTTACATTTTTGTGAACAAGTTTACCTTTCTCTCTACCTGAGTTCTTCCAAATTTGGAAACTGTTCTTAACTTTATGACAATATAGTTACTTGCATAAGTTTAGTAAGAGTCCTTTCTTTTCAAACAGTACATTTGAAGACATTTGTTATTTTACCAAGACTTTGACTAGAATAATATATTTGTAGGTAAAGTTCCAATAAAGCCAAATTAAAAAGGGCCTATATGGCCAATCAATTCTTATTGCACTTGATGTGAATAATCAAGCCAAGTGTAATAAACCTAAAACTAACTATGCACACAAATTGTTCTTACAATAATATAATTTCTCTTTAGTAGAAAAGGAGGGCTAGAAAGAAATTGTTTCAAAGGAAGAGTGTAACACTTGTTACTGGATTTCAGCCCTGACTTTTTTTGTTGAGTGCAGATTGAATCATGAATTATTTCTTGGCTACAATGATCCTCTAAAGAGTACAAGACTATAACTTTTCTTCACATTTTTAGTTGATGCCCTCATGGAATAGTTTTCTTTTTTGTTCTGACACACAAGTAATCTTTTAATTGTCAAATATTAATGTTATTTATCTCTCCTTGTTTTACCTCCAAGGAAACCAGAATAATGCTATTCTGAAGGCTAAAGGTGCAAATCTCCCCCAGTTGGCATCCCACTGAAAACAAACTTTTTCACACAAATTCCCTGCTGCTAAAACTATACAAGTGCCCTCCCTCTAGGCCCAGGAACTATCATGGAAAAGGGGGACACATGAGATTAAAAGGGGCTGGTTTTGAGGGATAGAATTAGTTCAGACCACCCCAATCAAATGTAGGTGGGTACACAGATGTCTAAACAGTTGGTAAAACAAGAGACTTTCTTTTGAACTATTATCTGGCATATTTTCATCCAACCCAACCTTAAAGAATTTTATGCTTCTTATAAAATTAAAAGAAAATTATTACTGAGAGAATATAAAAACATTTTGTGACAAAGCGTTCCGGGTATAATACTGATAGTTAAAACTTACTAAAAGACTGCAAAAGGCATTACAGCACCAATCTCTAAAATCCCTTAGCTAAAAGTCTTTAATATTGCTTATGTTTTGTATAGCTAATTGCTATAGGCCTGTAACAAAAACTAAGATTACACTAGCTTAGTCAGCTTTGTAACCTTGTCCTTGGCTTTTTGTTTGTTGCCTTTTTGCTTAATTTATTTAAGGGTTAACAAATGTCTGTTCATGTCCATTCCCATCTGGCCTAGATCATTTGAATTGGTCATAAATCTTTTAAATGTAAGTCTTTGGCCATGCAAGGGAAGGGTCCCACCAAGGGACAGGATGGGCCCGGGGCAGGCAGCCATTCCACCTCAGCTATGCTATGGGACAAAGTAAAAATTTGGTGGCCATTGATGTTGCTTCTAGCAAATCTTGGCCAAAAAGGGGAGAATGTATATTAAAAATAAAATTCTAAGCCTCTCATTCATCCAAATGGACCCCTCCTCTTGGCAAGGTTATTCCAAAGCTAACTTGAAAAACTAGTTCAGGCCGTGATGGGAAGGGAGGCGTTGAACATGCTTCATTATACCCTCCTCTATTCTGAAATTACTGATGAAATAGACTCTTCAAGTCTGATAAGAAACATTTACAATCTAGTCTCTCTCACATCTGCTGCCTGGAGGCTTTGCTTGCATGATAAAACCCTGGTCACAAATTCTTATTTTAATCCAGATATTCTTCAGTCTTTAGGCAATAACTTAAATTTTTCAATTAATTGCCAATCATAAAATCTTGGAATCTACCTATGACGTGGAACCCCACACTTCCAGTTGCCTCACCTTTCCAGGCTGAACCAGGGTACATCTTACATGTATTTGACTGATGTCTCATGTCTCCCTAAAATATATAAAACTAAGCTGAACCCTGACCAACTCCAGAACATGTTCTCAGGAGCTCTTGAGGACTGCATCATGGGTCATTGGTCACATTTGCCTCAGAATAAATTCTTCAAATATTTCACAGTTTGACTCTTTTCATTAACACTGTCTCACAATACCTTCTTAAAAAATACTATGTAGATTTTTCTATGCAATTAGTATGCACCCTGCTCAATAAAATCACTTACATTTCACAACATTACAAAATTTGTAATGACATCTCATTAGCAAACATGGTATTAAAAAACTTCCTAAATTGTCAATTAGGTTTCACAGCTCTCTTATTCTGGGAACTATCCAATATGTACAAAGTAAGGAAGCCACGATAACTTGAGCATGGTGTTATAACCTCATTTGTATGCATGATAAAGACCACCCTGAGACTTCATCAAGCAAGGACCTGATCAGGGACCCCTATCACAGGGTTTCTAGTGCTTTAGAGTTCCTTGCTTAAAATTTTTTCAGCCCAACTCTGGTGACCTAGACAAACTGGAACTAGCAGTGCCAGGAGACGGAGTACCCTGAGATCAGATCTGGGCCCACTTTGTTTCCAGTGCCTTCCACAACATTTTCGAAATGCTCTTTACTAGCTAAGATCACCCCAAATTTTCTGTACACCATAGGGATTGCTCTTTGCATTAGAATCACTTTACCATTAAAGCTCCAATGGATTGAATTTACCTATTTCAGAATCTATTAGCATGCAAAGGCAGGCTCTTTTAAGGAGGATGAGTAAATGACATAATGTGTTTGTGTTGCTTATCAATTGTGTCTTTGTAAATATGATTCTCTGTTTTTCATCTTTATTATATCTTTAGTAAGTCATACATAGATTTGTTGGAAAAATTAGTGAATAGGTTATAAATATGTAGCTTTTAAAGTCAAGGCTACCCACCCACTTACCATGTATCATTAGCATCCACTTACATTATGTTGTTTAAACCCAAAGCCTCGTATATAAATGAATATATATATGACTAAACTGAAATTATAGGCATATGGTGACGAAACTTTATATAACTCAAGAGTTTTTGAACATCTTGATGTATCAGCAAGTGGAAATCTATATATTTTATTTGTATAATTAGTTGTATTTTGTTTCACAATTTATGTAGTTATGTACTCACAGGGTATTTTCATTGCTTCCAAAGTAAGTGACATGTTAATAGACAGTAAGGTACATTTGCATTTTTTGCTTAAGTTTAGTAATGATAATTTTCAGTGCTGTGAGTCAGAAAGCACACTCATGTATTTACTGATGGAAATGAAAATTGGCACAATATTTTGAATGGCAGTTTAGAAATATGTATCAAAAAGCTTGAAAACTAAACCTCCTACCTTGGACCCACAATTCCTTTCAACAAACTTATTGTGTAAAAAAAAGAGTGGAAGAGCAAAGGAAGCAGATAAAAATATCTCTCACAGAATTATTTATATCATCAAACCACTAGCTAGAGTACATTTTATTACATTGAAAAATACACATAATTAAATAAATTTTCTGAAACAATACTTAATATTTTGTTTCTGTAATTCAGAAATTAGCATAGCAATACTTTCGTGGTTCTTTTAAATTAATCTTTATTTTTGTATGGTCAGAAGGAAAAGAATGAAAAAGAAAAAAATAGATATGGTTCAAACATAGCATGTATATATAGATAGATAGATAATATGTATATAAATATTAAAATATCCCAAAATATTTGTTATAGTAACCAATTGTTTCTTATTTTAGAAACCTGAAGCATGCTTTTAAATCAATCAATAAAAATGGAATAGAAGGCTGGGCACAGTGGCTCACACTTGTTTTCCCAGTACTTTGAGATGTCAAGGCAGGCAGATGGCTTGAGCTTATAAGTTCCAGAACAGCCTGGGCAACATAGCAAAACCCCATCTCTACAAAAAATACAAAAATTAGCTGGGCATGAGGGTGCATGCCTATAGTCCCAGCTACTCAAGAGGCTGAGGTGGGAGGATTGCTTGAG
This sequence comes from Homo sapiens, assembly GCF_000001405.40. Lineage (NCBI taxonomy): Eukaryota > Metazoa > Chordata > Mammalia > Primates > Hominidae > Homo > Homo sapiens. The sequence continues at coordinate 165,897 of NW_009646200.1, forward strand.
CCCGGGAGGCAGAGGTTGCAGTGAGCAGTCATTGCACCCCTGCCCTCCCGCCTGGGCAACAGAGAAAGACCCAGTCTCAAAGTTAAAATAAAGCAAAAATGGAATAGAAAAAAATTGCTGTATTTTTATACAATTTTATATTGCAGAACATTTTTATAAATTATATTTGCATTCAAAAAAGATAATAATCTAATCTAAGCTCTTAAAATAAGTTTAATATGAAGGAGGACATCCTAAGTAAGATAAGAAAACTTAAAAAAACGAAGACTTTAAAAAAAAAACAAGCAATATGTAGCTCAGACAAGTATGAATATTTCTAATACAGATAAGAAAACTTAAAAAAGGAAGACTTTTAAAAAAAGCAAGAAATATGTAGCTTAGACAAGTATGAATATTTCTAATATTGATAATATCTCCTTTTAAATAAAACAGATACAAAATATAAATGTAAAATAATAGTCAAAACATTTTAAAAATGTACATCTGTCATTAATATAAGAGTTTTTCTGAGTTAGGTATAATTATGCACACCTGTAATCCCAGCACTTTGGGAGGTCAAGGCGAGAGAATAGCTTGAGGCCAAAAATTTGAGACCAGCCTGGGCAACATAGCAAGACTCCATCTCTGTAAAAAATTTAAAAAGTTAACCAGGTGTGGTGGTGTGCATCTGTAGTCCTACCTACGTAGGAGGCTGAGGCAGGAGAATTACTTGAGCCTAGAAGTTTCAGGCTGCAGTGAGCTACGATTGAAACACTGCCCTCTAGCCTGGGTGACAGAGTAAGGCCCTGTCTCTAAAATAAAAATAAATAAATAAATAAAAATTGACAAAGAAATGTACAATTTTTAGGATCCAGATAACTCTAAGCTACAGCAGAAATTACAAAATATTTTCCATCCACCTGTTTGGCAAACATTCTAAGCACCGTCTAAACTTTACCAAATTTCAGAAAAAAAGAAAATCACATTACTGTTATAAATGTTAGATACTCCACACAACCTGTTTTGAAGGCAATCTGATATTCTTTTTTTCACAGAAATTCAATTATTTAAAAAATGTTTCAAGGCAAACTAAAAAAGGACACAAATTACTAATCACAGAACATCACTATGTATTTAATGATCACCAAAAGGATAATAAAAGTATAGTATAAATAACTCATATTATATACTCCAGATAAAATGGATCAGTTTTTTAAAAGAAACAATGTGCCAAAATTTACAAATAAGAAATAGGGAAGCTGAATAAGCCCATATATATATATATATATATACTTCTATATATATATATATATATATATATATATATACTTCTATATATATATATATATACTTGTATATATATATATATATATACTTCTATATATATATATACTTCTATATATATATATATACTTCTATATATATAGATACTTATATATATATATAGATACTTCTATATATATATAGATACTTCTATATATATATAGATACTTCTATATATATATAGATACTTCTATATATATATATACATATATATATATATACACATATATATATATATATATATATATAAAATCAATAATTTATAATGTTTCAAAACAGAATGTACCAGGCAGGTCCAGGTGGGTTCCATAGTGAATTCTAACAAACATTTAAGGAATAAATTATACCAATTCCCCATTGTCTTTCAAAACATAAAAGCAGATAGATTACTTTTTAACTCTTTCTATGAGGCCAGCATTGCCTATTTACTAAAAGCTGACAAAAACATGACAAGACAATTTATCTGCATATCAACATTTCTTATGGATATAGATGTGAAAAATTATCAATAGAATATTAGTATATCAAATATTATAATGTATACAAATAATTATACACCATGGCCAAGTGAAAATTATCCCAAGTATACAGAGCTGGTTCAACATTAGTAAATTAATAAATGTAAACCATCATATTACTAGGCTATGTTTATAAAAGAAAGATCATATAATCATAGTAAAAACACAAAAAGCATTTGACAAAATTTGACACTCACTTATGATAAACACTGTCAGTAAACTAGAAATAGAGGGTAACTTTCTCAATTTAATATCTATAAAGTTTACAGCTAACATTACCCTTAATAATGAGAAACTGGAAGCTTTCCTAATAATATCAGAATAGGCAAGGATATCACCTCTCACCACTCCTTTTCAACATCATACTGGAAGTACTAACTCATGCACTTAAACAAGAAAACAAAACAAAAGATATATAGATAGGGAAGAAATAAATAAAACTGTCTTTTCTGCAAATGACATAATCATCTACGTAGAAAACCCAAAAGAATTAACAACAACAACAAAAAGCCTTACTGGAACAAATGAGCAAATACAGCAAGGTTACAGGATACAAGGATGACATACAAATGTCAATTACTTTCCTATATAACACAAATGAACAAGTGAAATTTGAAATTAAAAACACAATACCACTAATATTAGCATGCAAAAACAAAGTTCTTAGGGATAAATCTAACAACATATATGAAAGATCAATATGAGGAAAACTACAAAACTCTGTTGAAAAAAATAAGGAAATAACTGAATATATAGAACAATCAAATTCCTAGCAAGCTATTTTGTGGATATCAACAAACCAGTTCAAAAGTTTATATGGGGAACCAAAAGACAGAGAATAACCAACATAATATTTTAAGAGAGGATCAAAGTGAGGATTCACACTATCTGACTTCAACACTTACTGTAAAGCTACAGAAAGCAAGACAATGTGGTATTAGTAGAAGAACATAAATGGCTTAATGGAACAGAATAGGGAGCACAGCAATAGACCCACATAAATATGGTCAATTTATCGTTGACAAAGTAGCAAAGGCAATGCAATGGAGAATAATCATATTTTCAACAGATGGTGCTGGAACAACTGGACATCTATTTGCAAAAAAAAATAAATAAATAAATCTAGAGACAGACCTTACCCTTCACAAAAAATAACTAAAAATTGATCATAGAGCTGAATATATAACCCCAAACTATACAACTCTTAGAAATAACATAAGAGTAAAACTTAGCTGGCATCAGGTTATAGGGATAACTTTTTACATATACCAGGGGTGTCCAATCTTTTGGCTTCTCTGGGGCATATTGGAAGAAGAATTGTCTTGGGCCATACATAAAATTCACTAACACTAATGATAGCTGACGAGCTAAAAAAAAAAAAGTTGCAACAGAAACCTCATAATGCTTTAAGAAAGTTTACAAATTTGTATTGGGCCACATTCAAAGCCTTCCTCGACTGCATGCAGCAATTGGGCCATGGGTTAAACAAGCTTGACACATACAAAAGGCAAAATCCATGAAAGAAACAATTGGTAAGCTGACTTCATTAAAATTAAAAACTTCTGCTCTGCAAAGAACACTATTAAAATAATGGGAGGACAAGAAACAGACTGGAGGAAAATATTTGCAAAAGACATCTGATAAAGGGTATTATCCAAAAATATACAAAGAATTCTTAAAACTCAACAGTAAGAAGAAAACAATAAACCCACTTAAAAAGAGGACCAAAGACATTAACAGACATCTCACCAAATAAAACATACAGGTGTCCAATAAGCATATAAAAAAGTCCTCCACATCACATGTCATCAGAGAACTGCAAATTAAAAATAAAATGAGATATCACTATACACCTGTTAGAATGGCCAAAATCCAGAAAACTGACAATACTAAATACTGGCCAGGATGGCCATCGTTGCTGCTAGGAGTGAAAAATGGTATTCCCACTGTGGAAAACATTTTGGGGGTTTCTCACAACACTAAACATGGTCTTGCAATATGATTTAGTAAACGTATTCTTTGGTATTTATCCCAAAAGTTGAAAAGTTATACCCACACCATAAATGTTCTTATGGATGTTTTAGCCACTTTTTTATAATTACAAAAACTTGGAAGCAACCATGATATGATTCAGTAGGCAAATAAAAAAAATAAACTGCGGTACATTCAAACAATGAAATATTATTTGGCACTAAGGAATTAGCTATCAATCCATTAAAAGAGGTGGAGGAAACTTAAGTTCATATAAATAGGTAAAAGATGTTCAATCTGAAAAGGCTACATACAGTATGATTCTAAATATATGACATTCGAGAAAAGATAAAATTTTAGAGACAGCAAAAAATTGTGGTTTCCTGGGGGAGTGAGGTGGAGAGAAAGAGTGGGAGTATGAAATATTTTTAGGGCAGTGAAAATACTCCACATAATACTATAATGGATACATGTGTTATACATTTATTCAAACCCATAGAATGTATGACATCTAGAGTGTGTTCTAATGTATATTATCAATTTTGGGTGATTATGATATGGCAATGTAGATTCATCAGTTGTAACAAATGTACCACTCTGATGAAGAATATTGATAATGGTGTTGATAGATTATACATGTGTGGAGGAAGAAGGTAAATGAGAAATCTCTGTACCTTTCTCTTAATTTTATTATGAACATAAAACTGCTCTAGATTAAGAAGTATTTATAACTGTAGTAGCAAAAACCATATCTAAATGTTCAGGAAGAGGAAAATAGCTAAATAATTTTGGCATATGTATATTATGCGATATTAAGCAGGTATGAAAAAGTTTGAGTTATATAGCTAGCTATCCCTCTCTATCTGTCTATCTATCTATCTATCTCAATAAACTAGACAACCCAGAAACTATCCAACTCTCTCTCTCTACATATATATATACATATATATATACACACACATATATATACATATATACATATATATACACACACACACACATATATATATATATACACACATACATATATATATGGAGGATGGATATTCATGAGTAAGAAAAATAATCATATTTTATGTTTTACAATTGTGCAGGAAAATATCTCAAAGAACAATGATTTAAAAGAGTAAAAATTCTGCTTTAGTTACAAAATACCTCGTGACTTGGGTCAATTATTTCAGTCATCTTGTTACAAACCCCTTGGAAATCTGGCCAGTAGGTATTAAGCATAGCAAACAGCTAATGCCCCCAAAATAAACGAAGGCTAGGAATGAAGTGGAAGATAAATATTGGACATGTACTTGTAAGCTGACATTCCCAGCCACTCACCCCAGGTTTATGATTAATTGCGTATTAATTCCCACGTGTAGACCACAGGAATAATACTGAAAGTTAAGTCATCACATAAAGTTTGACCATGAAGGATACACACTGAATGAAAAGTGAGAGAAAAAAAAAATCTACCCACCAATACAGGAACATATCAAGAACCATGTTTTTCTCTGCCAGGCTCTTAGGCAAATTAATACTACTGCACTGCCCTAATGTAGGTTTGATATTAAAATTTGTGAGATTTGCATTATCACAAAATTCCCAATCCAAAAGTCAAATGCAAAAGAGATCCCCTAAGATAATTTTGTTGACATATCTACAGCAGATGTAAATTTAAATTCTCCTATCTAAAGTTGAAGATGTAATTCTTCCTGTTCTTGTTACAACAATAGCACAAATTAATTTATTCAAAATCTGAGAATTTTTCAGAAGTAGTTGAATGATGAGAAAATTTGTGTTTAAGTACTAAAAAGTATAAAAATAACATAAAGGATTAGATTAAGAAACAGGAAATCTATTTCTCATTCTAAATGCCAGGAAGTGTGAGATAAATTAAAGAAAGGTCTTTAAGAAAAATGTTTCAAAGTTGAAGTTAAAATAAATGGTTTTTTAAAAATATATTCATATTAAAAAAGCAAACTGATCTGCTTAAGACATTTATGGGATAACATTGATTTTAACAAATTAAATTAAATACATTTGAGCAAAACTAAATTTATAATGTGAAAATGATTAACATTAAGAACGAATCAAACCGTAACTCTTCCAGTCTAATCTCCTACAAAATTCCCATCCTTTTATTCTCAGCGCTTGAGTTAATGAAGAAAAGAGAAAATACTAGACATGAACCCACTGATTGCTGTTTTCCTCTCCTTCCTATAGCATTTGTTTATCACTGGCTTCATAGAAAGAACTATCCTTTCTTTTGTAGAAGATTAATCGCCTGAATTATTGGTACTTTTCTCATTATAATTCTCCACAATTATTTTCTTATTACATTTGTGCTCCAAGCAGTTGCACGCACAACTCCAAGCTAGCTTTCGATAAATTGCTATTAAGCTGAGCTTATTTGGTTTTCAAAAATAGAAATTCATACCGGTAAAGATGGCAGGTTTGAAGCTAGAGTTTGAAATTTAAAAAAAGATAAATCAGCAAAATATTAGCTGAGGAAAAAAGGTTAAAAGAATATTTTACTAGAAACCAATAAATTTTAGGAAAGAGTAATTTAGAACATTTGGAAGTCACATGAAATACAGCTGTGTCAAATGGGATATATTACACAAAATATCATTTGGTCATTGATAAATTACCAATTATTAGAGTAATATAATACACATTAATAAAAGAGAACAAATGTAGTTATTATGCTGATTTGTGTCAGACAAAATTTTTTGGCTTCATGATGGAAATTAAAGACCAGTTGTCAAAGTATGGCAATATCTTCTGATTTAATAATGTGTCCAATGTACCTACAATGCAGATGGATGATCAAGTTATAGGAACTTTTGTGTCTCCATCACTGACCTTCTTCACTAGTCAGCTACATAAGTGCAATCTTGGATTTTGGCACCTCATCTGTTGGCCTCTCCAGAATTAATAAACTTCTACTTTTAGTAACTTCTACTTTTAGACCACCTGCTGGGTGAATATTTGGGGAGACGGTTGGATAGAGTGGCTCCTGTGAAAAATAAACACTCTGGGAAATCTGAAGTACAGGCTTCACTCACAACATGACTGAGCTGCAGTCACTTGCTCTGAAATGCTATTTTCTACAGCATGGTCCTGAGCACGACATGTATCATTTTTTTCCAAATAGGTAAGAACTTTTGGGTTACTGAGGATAATTTATTTTTTGAATACAAATGATGTTACAGTTTCTAATAGAATACATGCAGTTTTCGATAATCAAATAGTAATGATGATAGGTATCATCATGGATTTCATCAGTGATATTCTTTTGCAGTATTTGTTGATGATGGGATTCCTACCATTGAAATTATTATTTTTCAAGGTTTTGAGATAAAAAATGAGGTTTTTGCAATTCTGTAAAACTACCTTACTGCCATTTATGTGACTATGACAATTACTGAAATAGTAGTTTTAAATAAAGCTTTCTTGTTGCTTAATCTATACAAACATGCATGCTGTGATACATACGCTGGCTAAATAGCATAGAAGTGTGGTTTTGAAATAGTTTTGATGTGTTATTTTGCATCAAGTTTGGCAAAATATTTGCCTTGATCTACCCTAACTACCTGTATAAAAATTATGTCAAGTTAATTTCAACATACTGCTTGCTTTGTAATTCTATGTAGGATGCCAATAGTGCAATATAATTGTTTTGTAATAGTGTCAATAAATATATTCAAATTTATTTTATAGTTTATTTTTAAGTATTTCTAATATATTTATCAAAACATTAATTTTTGCTTATGTATTTAAAAATATATTGTCTGGGCCAGACGTGGTGGCTCACTCCTGTAATCCCAGCACTTCGGGAGGCTGAGGCGGGCGGATCACGAGGTCAGGCGGATCACGATGTCAGGAGATCCAGACCATCCTGGCTAACACAGTGAAAACCCATCTCTATTAAAAATACAAAAAATTAGCCAGGCGTGGTGGTGGGTGCCTGTAGTCCCAGCTACTTGGGAGGCTGAGGCAGGAGAATGGTGTGAACCCGGGAGGTGGAGCTTGCAGTGAGCTGAGATTGCACCACTGCACTCCAGCCTGGGCAACACAGCGAGACTCCCATCTCAAAAAAAAAAAATTGTCTTATGCTCTTTCTACCTATAAATATATCAGTAGTCATTAAAACATTATGTTTATTTCTAGTTATATGATATTTGTTTTAGGTTTAGTAGATTTTTTTTGCACATGAAGAACTTATGATTTCTTACTATTTTCTAGAACTCTGTATTAGTATAAATTCCTCTCAACTTATAGAACACTTTAAAAATATTTTGACAAGTCACTAACATTTTCCATGAGTCTTTTTTATAATGTCAAATGTCTTAAATGTCTATATAAATATATGTTTAATATATAGATAAAATATAGAGACATTATATATACATATAAATATATATTATATATACATGTATTATATATATTATATATATTTATACATTATAATATATTATATATTATATATGTATATATAATATATATAATATATATTATATAATATATATAATATATTATATATATAATATATTATATATATTATATAATATATTAAATATTATATATATTTATATAATATATACATATATAATTATGTATACATTAATTATGTATACATATATAATTATGCATACATTAATTATTATGTATACGTATATAATTATGTATACATTAATTATTATGTATGCATATATAATTAAGTATACATATATAATTATGTATGCTTATACATGTATAAGACATAATGTAAAATTTCTTAAATGTCTATATAAATATGTTTAATATATAGATAAAATATAGAGACATTATATATACATATAAATATATTACATATACATGTATTATATATTTATATATTATAATATATTATATATGTATATATTTATATATAATAAATTATATATGTATATATAATATTATATATATACAAATATATACATATGTAATATTGCCAAATCTTTCATTATGTGAATATCTTTCATAACAAACTTTTTTTGGATTATTTCACAATTTTTGAGGACCAAATTAAATGGCATATGTGAGTTTATTAATTCTGGTGAGGCCCACAGATGAGGTGAGGTGCCAAAACCCAAGATTCCACTTACATAGCTGACTAGTGAAGAAAGTCAATGATGGGAACATAAAGTTTCCTGTTTCTTGATCATCCATCTGCATTGTAGGTACACTGGGCACATTATAAAAACAAAATATAAATTGTTTACAGGTATTCTTATTAGAAAAAAAACAATAATTACTGTGGCCTTCTTCTGAAAATAAAGCTCTTTTATCCAAATAGAAATTCTGTAAATTCTGAGGATAGGCGTCAGTTAGAAGACTCTGGGTTCTAGTGAATCGATTTAACGATGGTGATATTAATTATTGCCGATACCAGCTTGGTCGGGGAGACCCTAACCCAGTGGCGCTAGAGGAATTAAAGACACACACAAACAAATATAGAGGTGTGAAGTGGGAAATCAGGGGTCTCACAGCCTTCAGAGCTGAGAGCCCCAAACACAGATTTACCCACGTTTATTAACAGCAAACCAGTCATTAGCATTGTTTCTATAGAAATTAAATTAACTAAAAATATCCCTTATGGGAAACGAAGGGATGGACGGAATTAATTGCAGCAGGAACATGCCCTTAAGACACAGATCTCTCAGGCTTTTGTTTGTGGCTTAAGAATGCCTTTAAGGGGTTTTCCACTCTGGGCGGGCCAGGTGTTCCTTGCCCTCATTCCCGTAAACCCACAACCTTCCAGCTTGGGCGTTATGGCCATTATGGACATGTTACACTGCTGCAGAGATTTTACTTATGGTCAGTTTTGGGGCCAGTTTATGGCCAGACTTTGGGGGGCTTGCTCCCAACAAATTATCAATTTCCATTTACATGAGTGCTTTTTAATTAAAATTACAAATTTACAGGCTTCATAATTTTCCCTTGTTTCTCACTGCTAGATTTTAAAAATCAGCGATTTCAATATATGTATATGAAGCTCTTGCCCTATGAAACACCTTCTGAAAATAATATACTATGCCCAAATAAGCCTAAAAAGGGTTTATGCTGCATTCTTTTCTTCTAGATTGAAAACATTTATTGTTATATTAAAAGCTCTGAAGAATTCTGTAAGAAGCTGTTTTTAAATTGGAATTCTTAAATATTTTTATCATAGAAAATCTTCCTCAAAATTTTGGAAAATCTGATTTTAAAGCATTGTAATATTAGCAAATAGACTATGAATCATTAATAAGGTTGTGCTTGTTGTCAATAGGTAGCAAGCTTTTAAAATACAAGACTCAGAATCAGAAATAACATGGTTCAAATCCTAGCTCCATCACTAACTGACCAGGGAAAAATTACTTCAATCTTCAATCCTTCCATTCCTAAAATGATAACAATAAGTCCCACCAATAAAAATGTTGAGAAGATATAATGAAAAGATGTTTAAAGCCTTAGCACACTGTGTTACACTCTAGAAAATACTTAGTTTAACAGTTAACTATTGAGGATTTATTTTCTTATGATTTTGAAGAAGTAATTTTTTTCTTCTAACAGTTAGTCCTGGTTTCTTAATGAAACAAAATCAACTGTAGTAGTCCAAAAGGCTACCATGAAAGGCAAAGATTACTAGGAGAGGCAATCTAGCTGTCAAGAGGTTTCAAGAGTATTATTACTTATAGGGAATTTGGCATCATCAAGTATTACCAAATCTATACATGACAGTGCCAAAGGACAAGTGTAATCTATCAAAGAGAAAGCTGGCCAAACTCATGAGACCAGTGAATAAAACCAACAATCCAACTCAATTCAATTATCTGAAAGAATTATAACTAGAGTGAAACTGGAATACCCATGTTGGAATACATAATTTGATTCCCTTCCTTAAGGGAAGGTAAGATGTTACCATAAGATTTATCTAAGGAAGGTGTATACATTGGTTTACATTGGTAAATCAATGTTTAAGGATGGATTCACCAAATGAGCATAAAATCAGAACAGATAATTTATTTTAACAAGTATATGACAGGAAATGTGCTAGGTGCTAGTTACATGATTCAAAAATGCAATTAATCTGGATTGAGGTGATCTTCTGTAGACATTTTGAATATTGAAATTGTCTTTCCAGTGACTCCAAAAGACTGAATATCATTGCATTTCTAATGTACATAATTAAAGTGAGCATCTTAAATATTTGTATTTAACAAATACAATTTTATATCTTCCTAAATCTGCCTAATTTCTCTTGCGGCTGGTACTTTCCATCTTTTTCTTTAGGTATATAATGCTTTTGGTCAAGTTCTGCTCTGCCATCACATCTCAATAATGTTAATATTATATTTTTGCCTTGATGTCTCACACACAAAGAACATGGGCCAAATCTAATGAAAGATCTGATTTTCCTTTTCCAAGATAATTGAGATTTCTCATTGTAGTCCCATTGCCAAACTTTTCATTGTTGTCAAACAGCAAAACAACTGAAGGTTTTTCAACGAAAAATAAGGAAAAGAAAACACCATCTTCCCTAAAGAAAACATGGCTTAAAGATGGATGGGAGAGAGAAGGGTCATGGAAGGAGAGAGAGAGGAAAAAAAAAAATGAGGGGGGGGGAGAGAGAGAGAGAGAGAGAAATAATAATACATCATTTTGGCTAAACTGGGAAACAAAGAAGATGCATAACTATATGTTTATCTTAGAATGCATAAAAATGTATGTAAATTTAAGTTCCACACAGTGAAAAGACATTCAGGATAAAGTCAACTTAAGTGGGTGCAGTATCCTTATATAGTGAGATGTTAAGATTTTGCTAGTTTCCATTCATTATAGAAAAAAACTTTCTTTGGGATATGGAATTCCAAAAACATACCTCATTTGATACTACAATATTCCCAGTCTTATTTGAAACATAAATTATATAAATCCTGCTTTGTAGTAGCAGAAAAGTATATCTCCATCTTTTAAAGGAAAATTTGATTCCAATGTTCCCATATAAAATATACTGGCCTCAGCAAGAGTTTTACATAAAAGTTGCAACATGGCTGATCACCCATCTCCCTCAGAGTCAATTATTTTAACGTTTTCAGTCTGGGCTTAGGCCTAGTCATTACACAAAAGGGAGTTTCAATAGGGTTTGTAATGACTTGTTACTTGTGCTGAGATTTCTCAGGCAACTTTGATTCTGCTTGATCTATTGTTGCAATTGATTTTATAGATCACCAAGGAATGCACAATCACTTCTATCACCATGTGTAGCTTTGGAATTCTAATCTAACTTGCCTTTGTCCAACAATTGTATTGGACATACACATTAGTGGGGAATTTTTTTCTTTTAAGGTTCCAAATACCAATTTTCTTTAGCATATAGAATAAAAGCTACCTTGTCTAAATAAATATATTTAGAATATGTTGGATTAGTATTATATAGAGGATATAATTGTTGCTCCTTGACTATATCTCCTTGACAGGTGTTGAACTGCCTACACTTTGCTTGATTGGTAAATATATTGCTATTGTTTTTATAGAAAAATTCTAGAAGTTATGCTAGAGTACACTTTCACAATGCACCTTAATGCAAAACATCTGTTTCATAATCTACTCTCAGTTATCAAAGGTATAAAAAATATTGTTAAATTTCTTTTTCTTTCCCACTCATTAGCTTATTGGTGAGAGTATTTATGTATAGCTGCAAGGAATGCCTTATAGAGATAAATATAGTACTGAAGGCAGCTGAAGTAATAAAAAGAACTAGCAAACAAGATACCTGGTTCCACAAGAGCCCTTATGTGTTTTATTTAGTGTCTTCCCTCTTGGCTCACTATTAAATACCCATAGCTCCAGACTGGCTGTCCTCCATTTCTTTTATCTACTCTTCTGCATGCCACATGGAATAGCAAAGCCATTCATCATATTTTGCATGATAATATCTTTGGTATTATAGACTAAATGATAGAGCTCCTAGGTGTATAATGATCCACATTTCCAAACTTTAATCTGTCTTTATCGGTAGTTTCTAGGATTTTCCCTCTATAGTCTTCTCAGCCTGCAAACTCTCCTCAGCCAAATAAGCTAAAGTCAGACTTCAAAGCAGGGCTTATGAAACTCACTGTAATCTGCTACCTGACTATGTTTCTGTATTAGTCTGTTCTCACTGTGCTAAGAAAGACATACCCGAGACTGGGTGACTAATAAAGGAAAGAGGTTTAATGGACTCACAGTTTCACATGGCTGGGGAGGCCTCACAATCATGGCAGAAGGTGAAGGAGGAGCAAAGACATGTCTTACATGGCAGCAGGCAAGAGAGAGTGTGCAGGGGAACTGACCTTTATAAAACCATTAGGTCTTGTGAGACTTATTCACTGTCATGAGAACAGCAGGGGAAAAAAACTGCCCCAATGATTCAATTACCTCCCACTGGGTCGCTCCCATGACACGTAGGGATTTTGGGAGGTCAATTCAAGATGAGATTTCGGCGGGGACACAGCCAAACCATATCAGTCTCCACTTCTACTGCTTCTCATTATTACCTACATGTTTTGAAAAGACAAAACTAACTATAGTTTCAAAAACATAATGTGTTATTTATTGCTCACCATGATATTTCTTGAACTTTACCTTTAACACTTGGATTTATTTACAAGATCCTCAGATGAGCCCTAATAATACTAGCACTTATCACATTTACTCCATTAAAATCTCCACCATATCTGCCTGTCTCTTCTGCTAAACTGAGAACCCTTAAAAGGAATGCTGTCTTTTTGATATGTAATTCCAACCTCTGGCTTCTACAGTATAATCGGTCAATTGTTTTCCTCCATTTCTCTTTTCAGTTAAAACTTGTACTCTACATTTCTATCTTTCAAGCAAGGTAAAATGATTGAAAACTGATAGTTTAGTTTCAAGTAAGATTTTAGATATATACATGTAATTTTCTACAGACATGGGGTCTTGCTATGTTGCCATGGCTGATCTCATCAAATAAGTTGTATATAAATATTTTTAAAAATATAAATGGATGACTTATTCATTCATCCAGCCAGCCAGACATCCATCCATTAATTTATTTAATTCATGTAAAATGGCATTCTAGGTGTGGGTGGAAAAAAATGACAGGCTGTCTTTTTTGGCCTTGTAGTAACATTCAGTAGTTAGTACCTAATTCACTGAAACAGAACCCTGACTTCATTTTTTTAATTTTTAATTTTTGTAGGTACATAGTATGTGTATATATTTATGGGAGACATGAGATGTTTTGATACAGGCATATGATGTGACAAAAGCACATCATGATGTATGGGGTACCCATCCCCTCAGGCATTTACTCATTGAGTTGCAAACCATCCAATTACACTGTTTAAGTTATTTAAAATGTACAATTTAGTTATTATTGACTATAATCACTCTGTTGTGCTATCAAATAGTAGATCTTATTGATTCTTTCTAATTTTTTTGTACCCATTAACTATCCCTACCTCTCACCCAGCCTTTTATTACCCTTCCCAGCCTCTGGTAACAACACTTCTACCCTCCATGCCCGTAAGTTAAATTGTTTTGATTTTTGGATCTCATAAGTAAGTGAGAACATGTGATGCTTGTCTTTCTGTGCCTGACTTATTTCACTTAACACAATGATCTCTAATTCAATCCATGTTTTTGCAAATGACTGGGTCTCATTGCTTTTTTATGACTGAATTGTACTGCATTGTGTATATGTACCACATTTTCTTTATCTGTTCATCTGTTAATGGGCACTTAGGTTGCTTCAAAATTTTAACTAATGTAAACAGTGGTGCAATAAACACAGAAGTGCAGATACCTCTTCAATATACTGATTTCCTTTATTTTGGGTATATACCCAGCAATGGGATGAATCATATGGTAGCTCAGTTTTTAATTTTGTTAAGAACCCCCAACATTTCTCCACAGTAGTTGTACTACCTTCCATTCCCAACAATGTATAAGGTTTCCCTTTACTCCACATCCTTGGCAGCCTTTGTTATTGCTTGTCTTTTGGACAAAAGCCATTTTAAGAGGGGTGAGGTCATATGTCATTGTGATTTCAATTTGCATTTTTCTGATGATCAATTATGTTGATGACCTTTTCATATGCCTGTTTGCCATTTGTATGTCTTCTTTTGAGAAATGTATATTCAAATCTGGTACCCATTTTTTTATTGGATTATTAAATTTTTTCCTATAGAGTTGTTTGAACTCATTATGTATTCTGGTTTTTAATCCCTTGTCAGACTGTTAGTTTGAAAATATTCTCTCCCATTATGTGGGTTGTCTCTTCACTATGTTGATTGTATTCTTCAACTGTAAAAAAGCTTTTTAAGTTAATGTAATTCTATTTGTTCATTTTTACTTTGGTTTCCTGTGCTTGTATGGTACTGTTAAAGAAATCTTTGCCTAGACCAATGTCTTGGAGAGTTTCTCCAATGTTTTCTTACAGTAGTTTCATAGTTTGAGGTCTCAGATTTAAGTCTTTAATTCATTTTATTTGGCTTTTATGTGTAGTGACAGATAAGGGTCTAGTGTCATTCTCCTGCTTATAGATATCCAATTTCCCAACACCGTTTATTAAAGAGATTGTCTTTCCTCCATGTATGTTACTGACACCTTTGTCAAAAATAAGCTAACTGTATGTGTGTGGGTGTGTTTCTGGCTTCTCTATTCTAGTCCATTGATCTATGTGTCTGGTTCTATGCCAGTACCATGCTGTTTTGGTTTCTGACTTTTCTACTCTGTCCCATTGATCTATGTGTCTGTTTTTATGTGAGTGCCATGCTGTTTTGCTTACTATAGCTCTGTAGTATAATTTAAAGTCAGGTAATGTGGTTCCTCCAGTTTTGTTATTTTAGCTTAGGATAGCTTTGTCTACTCTGGGCCTTTTGTGGTTACATATAAATTTGAAATTTTTTTTCTGTTTCTGTGAAGAATGTAATTGAAAGTTTGATAAAGATTGCATTGAGTCTGTAGATTGCTTTGGATAGTATGGACATTTTAACAATATTGATTCTTTCAATCCACAAACATGGAATATTTTTACATTTTTTTGGTTTTCTCTTCAATTTCTGTTATGTATATTTTATAGTTTTTATTATAGAGATCTTTTACTTTTTTGGTTAATTCTACGTATTTAATTTGTGTGTGTTTATTATAAATAGGATTACTAATTTTATTTCTTTTTCACATAGTTCATTGTTGGCATATAGAAATGACACAGATTTTTGTAAGTTGATTTTGTGTCCTGCAATTTTGCTTGACACAATTTGTGTCAGTTTACACAAACAAACTGAATTTGTTTGTCAGTTGTAATACTTTTTGGTGGAGTCTTTGGGGTTTTTTCAAATATAAGATCATATCATTTGCAAACAAGGATAATTTGACTTCTTACTTTCCAATATGGCTACTTTTATATCTTTCTGTTTTCTGATTGCTCTAGCTAGGTCTTCCAGTAGTATGTTGAATAACAGTGGTGACAGTGGGCATCCTTGTCATGTTCCAGAACTCAGAGGAAAGGTTTTCAGTTTTTTTCTTTTTTTCCCTTTCAGCATGATACTAGCCATAAGTGACCTCTATTATGTTGAGGTATGTTACTTCTATCTCCAGTTGTTTGAGGCTTTTTATCATAAAGTGATGTTAAATTTTACCAAATCTTTCTTGTCTGTATCAATTGAAATGATATTATTTTTATTCTTAATTCTATTGATAATTATGTATCACTTTAATTGATTTGCATACATTGAACCATTCTTGCATCCCAGGTATAAGTTTCAGTTGGTGATGATGACTGATCTTATTAATGTATTGTTGAATTCCATTTACTAATATTTTGTTGAGAATTTTTGCATCAATATTCATCAGAGATATTGGCCTGTGGGTTTGTTTGTTTGTTTGTTTGTTTGTTTGATGTGCCTTTGTGTCATTTTGGAATCAAGGTAATACTGGCCTTGTAGAATGAGTTTGGACACATTCCCTCTTCCTCCATCTTCAGAATAGTTTGAATAGGATTTTTTATTAGTTCTTTAAATGTTTGGTAGAATTCAGCAGTGAAGCCTTTGATTTCTGGCTTTTTCTCTATCGGAAGACTATTATGAATTCAATATTATTACTTGTTATTGATCTGTTCAGTATTTGCATTTATTTGTGATTCAATCTTGGTAGGTTGTATGTGTGTAGGAATTTATCTATTTCTTCTAGATTTTTCAATATATTGGCATGTAGTTACTCAGTGTAGCCCCTAATGATCTTTTCAATTTCTGCAACATCAGTGGTAATGTCTCCCTTTTCATTTCTGATTTTATTTATTTGGCTCTTCTTTTTTTCTTAGGTAGTCTGGCTAAAGGCTTGTCAATTTCATTTAACTTTTCAAAAATCCAACTTCTTGTATCATTGGTCTTTTGTATTGTTGTTTTCAATTTCATGTATTTCTGCTTTGATATTTACTCTTTCTTTTCTTCTACTGATTTTGTGTTTGGTTAGCTCTTGCTTTTCTAGTTCTTTAAGATGCATAATTTGAAGATTTATGATTGTTTATGAATAAGATTGTTTATTTGAAGGTTTTTTCTTTTTTGATGTCGGCAGTTATAGCTATTAGCTTCCCTGTTAGTACTGCTTTTGTGGTGTCACATAGCTTTTGCTATGCTGTTTCCATTATAATTTGTTTCAAAAAATTTTCAATTTCTTTCTTAATTTCTTTATTGACCTGCTGGCCATTTGAAAGCATATTCCTTAATTTCCATGCATTTTTATAGTTTCCAAAATTTCTTAAATTAAAAATTCTGAAATTAATTGTTATTAATTCCTAGTTTTATTCCATTGTGGTCAGAGAAGATGCTTGATATTATTTTACTATTTTAGAATGTTGGAAGTCTTGATTTGTAACCTCACATATGGTCTATCCTTGAGAATGATTCATGTGTTGAATAAAAGAATGTGTACTCTGCAGCTCTTGAATGAAATGTTTTGTAAATATCAATTGGATTCATTTGGTCTATACTGAAGATTAATTGTGATCTTTCTTTGTTGATTTGCTGTCTGAAGATCTGTCTAATACTGAAAGTTCAGTGCTAAAGTCTCCAGCTATTATTGTATTGAGACCTGTCTTTTCTTAACTCTAATAATATTTCCTTTATATATCTGGATGCTTCAGTGTTGGGAGCATATATATTTAAACTTGTTATATCCTCTTGCTGAATTGACCCCTTTATAATTACATAGTGACTGTCTTTGTCTCTTTCTATAGTTTTTGCCTTGAAATCTATTTTGTCTGATACAGGTATAGCTACTCCTGCTTTTTTTTTTTTTTTTTTTTTTTTTTTGGTTTCTATTGGTTTGGAAGATCTTTTTCATCCCTTTACATTTAGCCTACATACCTCTTTATAGGTAAAGTGTGTTTCTTGTAGGCAACAGATCAATGGGTTTTATTTCTTTATCCTTTATCCTTTATCCTTTCTTTATTTATGCTTTCAGATAGCCTATGTCTTTTGATTGAAGAGTTTAGTACATTTACATTCAATGTTATTATTGATAAGTAAGGACTTAGTCTTACCATTTCATTATTTGTTTTCTGGTCTTCTCTTCCTTCTTTCTTTCCTTTCTATCTTCCTCTAATGAGGGTGATTTTCTCTGGTGATATGATTTAGTTTCTTGCTTTTTATTGTGTGTGTGTTGTGTGGGTGGGTGTGTGTATGCATTGGATGCGTTTTCATTTATAGATTACCATGAGGCTTGCAGATATTGTCTTATAACACATTATTTTAACCTGATAATGACTTAACACTTTTTGCATAAACAAACAAAAAGTAAACTACTAAAAACTTGCCTTAACTTCCCCTCCACTTTTTAACATTTTGTTGTTTCTATTGATATTTTACTGTAATGACTATGTCTTGTAAAGTTGTGTAGTTATTATTTTTTATTGATTCATTATTTATTTTTTCTACTTAGGATAAGAGCAGTTTACATAGCACAGTTACAGTGTTATAATATTCTGAGTTTTTCCTGTGTACTTACTATTGCCATTAAGTTTTGTACCTTAGGTTGATTATTTACTTCTTATGAATGACATTTTCTTTCTGATTGAAGTAATTTCTTTAGCATTTCTTATAGGACAGGTCTGGTATTTATGAAATTCTTCAGCTTTTGTTTGTCTAGGAAAGTCTTTATTTCTCCTTCATGTTTGAAGAATATATTTTACCAGATACACTGTTCTAGGGTAAAAGACTTTTTCCTTCAGCACTTTATATATGTCTTGCCACTCTTTACTGGCCTAGAAGATTTCCACTGAAAAGTCTGCTGCCAGAAATATTGGAGCTCCATTGGATGTTATTTGTTTCTTTTCTCTTGCTGCTTTTAGGTTCCTTCCCTTATCCTTTATCATCTGAAGTGAAATTCTTTTAGGTAGTTCTAGTTTGCTGTCAGACTTACACCTTATATAAGCTAATAAACTTCCTTACGTTTACTTTGGAAGTATTACCATTACTACCTAATTGTAACTGAAACAATAAATCTTTAAAAGTTACGCAGCTAAGAACAGGATGGAAATAGGCTTGCTGAAATAATGTCACACGCCAATATGACAAATTCTACTTTCTATGATATACAGAATTTTTTCCTGAAGTACATACATATTTTAAACTATAACTACTTATATTGATGAATATCTTGTGAAGCTGGGGTGATTATATCAATTTAAGGTTTCATGTATTAATGAATTAACATATATATTAATTGAAATTATATGAATCTTAAGTATTACTGCTCACAGAGCATTTTCTAGATAAGAGATCATAAGTTTTATCCCAATTGTCTGACAGCTATGAATGATTTCCAGGCTAGAGTGACAAAGATAACTCTAATCCACTTTAAGATTAATAAATTCTATTTTATTACATTGCCACCAGAGACTTGCATTCAGTGAAGAACTAATGTAAGATGAAAAGATTTTCTTAACATAAACCTAAGTAGCAGGAAAATTAAAAGAAAGACAGACAAAATTCTACTGTTAGAGGATTTGCAAGCCTCCAAAAAGAACTCTAATTGCATAATATATTGTTTGGTAAAAACTGAAAATATATTCTTGGTAGTTTGGATTAGTCAGGTGTTGGCTTACGTTTGTCCCTGTGCCTCCACTATACTTTTAATTGGAGAGATGGTGATGACTTAGAAGTCTTATCTTTCAATAAGTCCCCAAAAGAGCATTACCTGAGAAACAAACAAACAAACAAAAACTACATTCAGTCACTAAATAACTCAGTCACTGTGGGCCAGTCACGTAACCTCTCTGGACCAGGTTAGTTCACTTGGTCTTTTATTTTTTTAAATTGAGACAAAAGGAATGTGTTGATAAATTATGGCTACATTATGGATTCCAAGAAATGTTGCTAATAATACAGTATGTTCTCAGAACTTTTAAGTTTGGGAAATGCTGGTCATCTTCTTCCAATAATGTTTTGTAGTTAATCAACCTTTCACATAAGAAAATTCTTACACTTACCCTTTATGGTACTAAGGATTGAGATGGATAAAGTGAGAATGCTTTAAAAAGTACCAGTTTGATTCTACCAATAGTCAGACTCATAAAAATTAATTATAAAAATTTAAGTCAGTATTATGTTACCTCAAAGAGGACTACGCCATAAATGTTCTGCAAAATGGTTCAGTTTTTGCAAAATGTTAACATCGTATTTAAATATTGCCATATCTAACCACTCACAAAATGGATAATGGTGGAAAAATGTCTGCTCCAAAGTATTTTATAAGAAATCAATAATATTTTTACTATAAGAAACCCCTTATACTATATAAAGAAAAAAGAAAGTTTAAAATTAACCAACAAAGGGTTATTGTTCAGAACCCATAGACACATGTACTGCAAGGTGGCCAGGACGCTAAAACCAAGACCAAAGAAATCGTGAGTTACATTTGCTTGTTCCGCCTCAGGCTTGCATCTCTGCTTCTCTAAACAAATCAGCTTCATTCTTCATCACAATGAGAACTACAACTTGTACATACCTTTGCTTCTTCCTAAAACTCTTACTTAGACCATCACATTACTTACCTAGACCTATCGTTTAAGTCAAAAACAAAACATCACCTCACAATGAGCCTCTTCATGTCAAAATCAGCTTACATTCATTATTTTAAAAAATGGGGGAGGGGCATAAAAGAGCTCTCCTCACCAAGATTTCAGGGGATATGACTCAAAGAAGAGAACACAATTCGTATCTACCTTCTGTACACAGCAAGCCCATACCTTTAAATCAGACAAATGCAAAACAAAAGAATAACATTTTGAAAAATGTACCTGGAATATCAAGACTAAGTATATATTTGAAAAGATGTTAAATACAGAGTTATTAGGAGTGGAAAAATGAATAACCTATGTTTCTTTGAGAAATTGTTAAATAAATTGTGTTGCATCCATAATTTAAACTACTAAAAACTTTTTAAAAATACTGAATTCAGGCTGGGTGCAGTGGCTCACACCTGTAATCCCAGCACTTTGGGAGGCCAAGGCAGGCAGATCATGAGGTCAGGAGATTGAGACCATCCTGGCTAACATGGTGAAACCGCATCTCTACTAAAAAAAATACAGAAAAAAATTAGCCAGGCTTGGTGGCTGGTGCCTGTAGTCCCAGCTACTTGGGAGGCTGAGGCAGGAGAATGGTGTGAACCCAAGAGGCGGAGCTTGCAGTGAGCAGAGTTCGTGCCACTGCACTCCGGCCTGGGCAACAGAGTGAGACTCTGTCCCAAAAAAAAAAAAAAAAAAATAGTGAATTCAGCTCTCTATATTAACCTAAAGTGAAGTTCATGACATTTTACCATGTAATGTAAAACAATAGGATATTATTTTTCTAAACAGATGAATAAATATATGTTTGGTGCATGCATATGCATAAATATAAACATATTTCAATATATTTATGTATATATGTACTGCATACAATACATATCCATATATAAATATTAATATGTATAAATTCAAATATTTATAAATACGTATTAATATATACAAACATGTAAACCTATGTCTATATACATACATAAAACATATATATGCATATACTTGATTTTGTAACAATATATCTAATTCTCTATAGCAAATTGCTATCAGTTTTAGCTATTTGAAATTAATTTAAATCAATAATAATACTATGTTAAAAAATTAAATGGAATAAAATTTACATATTTATTCTTTCTTATACTTTGGTATAAAGTAAAAAAGTAATCTCTACCTGACTCTTTAATAACCCACTCTTTTTCACCTCAATTCTTTTGCACTTGTTTTCACTTCAGCCTGAAATGCTCTTCCCATAGATGTCATGGGCAAAGGCATACATGGAACACTCACAGAACAGGACTACAGCATAGCAAATATGATATTTCAAAATTATTGCCCTGATTATTAATTAAACTGGCATAATGCATAATTTTCTCCTGTCAAGTTGGCTAAAAAAATTAAAAAGGTAAACAGACGATTAGGTGGTTAAAAAAACTGAACACTGAAAAACACAACAGTGTTGGAACTCTAAGTTGGTTGTTGTATCTACCTGTAAATATTAAAGCAAACTATTCCAGTTCTGTAAATTATCTTCACTGCATTTATTATGTCATAGACAGTGACTTAACAACAAACAAACAAAAACAGGTGCTTTATACATACCTTCTTAAACTATTTCAAGTGTCTTAAAATGAAGATAACGTAGGTGTTTTTTTTTTTTTTCCCCCTGTAATCTTTTCAGTCTCCATGATTCGAACCTTGCTTTGCCCAGTACAACTTGGGGCTACTTCAGCTCCAAACATTTTGGTTATTTTTCAGTTCGGTTTCTTTCCAAATGTTTTTATTTGGAGTGCCATGAAATCCCTAGTCCCTAACATAATGATTGGTACATGGTATGTGCTCAATTTACTATTATAAATAACTACAGAGAAAATAATTTTTAAATGTTAAGATATATTTTAACAAAATATGTATTGCAGTACTATTTATTTTATCTTGTTATACAAACAAGATTGAACTTACATATATATACACTAAACATTTTAGAAAATTATTTATTTGTTAAATGATATAGATACTGACACAGATGTTTATATATGTAATGTGGGTATATATGTATAATTATGTGTGTACATATATATGTGTGTGTATATACATACATATGTACACAATTGCCATGTTTCCATCTGTTACTTTTTTATCTTTAATTATGTGTAATATTTACCTAGATTATTTTCCTTCATATGAAATCAACTTCCTGACTGGTACTCTCTTTCCAGATGGTCCTGTGCTTGGCAGATTTGATGTGCCATGTCACATAAAAAGCTCATGAAACTGAAGTGGCATTGGACCCATATAATGCTTTTTTAATCAGCATACACACAGCACACGACACAAAGCATCTCTGCCAACAAATTAGTACCTAATGTTTCTACCATCCAAGTTTAGTTCGACAATTTAACTCTGTAGTCCTACATAATTTATGCTGCTTCCTGACTCCATGCGGTCCATGTGAATGTATTTTACAAAAACAAAAATAAAAACGAAATCTCACAAAAAGTTCAAAAAGAAACCTCAACAAACACCACACACAGACAAAAAAAAAAAGCTAAACAAAATCCGAGAACCAAAGGAAAATATCACACAATTGGTGTACAGATGAACATCTTAGAGGTCCATTTGTGAAGTAGTATCTTAAACAAAATTAATGTGTTCCTTTAAATAAAAGCAATTAGGAAAAGATATGTGGTGTTTTAAAGGTTGTGAAATGTAGGTAGTACATGTTGGCTGCTTGTTTTAAAAGCTTTAGGGACATTCGTAAGATAGCCACATTTTAGTAACCCATATCTTTTGTGAGATTAAATCTGTCTGCTGGGAATATTCCTGCATGGATAGAATAAAGAGTACTGCAAACTTTGGTGAGGAACAAGCTATCTTTATTAAAGTATTTATCATTTTTACAGCTGGAATTGGTGTTAATATTTCAACAAACAATACCAGTAAGCCTTATCTTCTCTTTGTTGACTTTAGTTAAGCACCATCAGCAGTAGGCTTTTTGGAACAGCTTGGCCCGCCCAAGCAGAATAATTCATCTTAGAAGAATTTAAAAAAAAAATAAGCTCACTTTTAATATGCAGTAGAAGCACGTCAAAGTATGAACACAAACTTAGTCTGGAGGATGTAAGACTTGAAAAATATGATTGACAGTATTCTTTTTCAGCTTTAAAAACAACTGAGGACAGAATATTCAAGCACTGAACAAATTTTAAACAAACATAAAAAGTGAGCTTACAGAGTTTTATTTAAATGACCACGTAGGCTATTACATGAGAAAACCAGAATTTTTATCTTAATATCTTATACAACATAATGTAAGAGGAAAGACAGAAAAAAAAATTCCCAAAGAGAGATCAATACTTTGAATTCAGTAAATGCTGAATGTATCTAATGATTTTAACCTAAATGCTATACGAAGTTATGGACAAACCCAGAGATCAAATGCCATAGTTAAAAAAATCAGAATGAGTATGAGATATGAAGGGTTTAAGTGGACTACTGTATTTGAATTTATCATGTTATAAGAAGCCTATTATGGAGCTAAAAGAGTATTACAATTGTTTGTATGCAGTTACATGGATGACTACAGAGCCGAATGCGTCATTCAAATCAAAATTATGTTAAAAGACAAAGTTTAAAAATCAATGAATATCTCAAAGTTACTTTTTTGGTTCACTACTGAGAGTGGGGCTGGAAGATGGAAGAAAGGCAGAATAGCTTGCTTCATTAAACACCAAAAGTACAGATTATTATCTGTTCTGGCAAATCAAGAAGATACTCTTATATTCCAAAAGAAAGTCTATGTTGGTATTTTCTAAAGAAGAATGCACAGTGAATAAAATTCTGTATTATTAATATAAACAACTTTGTTTACTTTTTATAATCTTTATGCTGATTCAATGATTTGATAATAATTTTTTGCATCTTGGGCATTGCTAATCCTACAAGACGTTCAGAAGAGCAGTGCCCAGAGAGCATCTGTTATACAAGTTGTCCCCCTTTACTTACATAATCTCAGCTCAGTCACAAGTTCTAAGCTACGGATTGGAGTTGAAGGCAGAAGATATATTCTTTTGAAAGAAGTTATGGCTAGATTGTTTAGATAACTTTCACAACCTTTAAATTAAGTTGAAATTGGCATATAAGATGCTTACAGAAAAAAAATCACAAATAATAAGTATACAATTCTAAGTGTCACAAAAATTGAATACACCAATGAAAACCACCGAAGTCAAGAGACAGAATACTACCAAAATTCCAGAAACCCTTTAACTGACCCTTAGTAATAATCCCTCTTGCTCAATTGTAAATCACTATCCTGATTTCTGACAACATAGCTGTTTTTTAACTTCACATGGAAGAAAACATACAACATGCATTATTTGTGTCTGGCTTATTATGTTAGTGAGATCCATTCACTTCTTTTTCCATGAGTAGTAGTGCTTCACTTCAATATTATTATACTACGCTATAATAATTAATAATGATTAATTATTGCAATTAATAAACACATAAATAATTTCCAAGTGTTTTGGGTTAATGTAAATAATGTTGCTACAAATAGTTATACAGTTTTGGATTAAACAGGATACATTTGGTTGGAGTGTCTACCTAGGAATAGAACTGCATGGCCATAGGGAAGGCATCAACTCAATTTCAGGAAATATTGCAAAACAATTTTCCCAAATAGTTATACTAATTTTCTCATTCACAAGTAGTGTATGGGAGTTTCATTGTCCAAAGTCTTAAAGAGTATTGTGCATTTTTTTAAGTAATCGGGGAGAATGTGTAGTTATGTCTCATGATGGTTTTCATTCACATTTCCTTGATGAGGTTTAGCACATTTTAAATATTTATTGGCCACTTGGAAATATTTTAGAATGGTTACCAGTTCGCACATTTTACCCACCTTTTTATAGGATTCTTTGTTTTTTTATTGGTTAGCAAAGATTCTTTCTGAATTCTTTTTTTTTTTGGTAGGGGCCCTCCATTTGTTATGTGTATTGAAATGTCATCACCATGCTATCTTGGCTCCTTATACTTTCAAGGAAATCTATTGATAAAGTTTCTAAATTTAATAGAGTCCAATTTATCATTATTTTCTACATTCTAATGCTTATTGTATCTTGCATCCTAACAAAACTTTCCCAACCTCCAAGAAATAACCATCAGAAATTAATACTGGATTATGACAACAAAAATTTCACTTATTTTTTTGCAGTTCTCAGAAATCACAGGTAAGAAATGAACAGAATCACTTGCCAATTTTAAATTTAGATTTTTTTTGTCAGCTTCTATGTATGAAGAAAAGCATCCATGCTATTTACAGTACCGGCTTAAAATAGCTAATATTATTGAAAGTTTATTCTGATACTTTGGTAAATATATAGTAATCTACAGATATATTGATCAACATATTTTTTTTGGTTTCAGGTATTTAAGAATATAGGTGAATATTATATATGGTTATTGTCAAAGATAAAATACATCTGAGAGGGTAGGAATCATAGTTACAGCAGCTCTTCTTTAGGCAGAGCCAGAAATACAGAACACTGAACAATGAATCTAGGCAGGTAAGACCGCAGGCAGTCTTCCTGATATATCCATTTTTCAGCATAGCATGAAATTAATAGGAAGATTCTCAAGGACTCGTGTATCAGGAGAACATCACACCTGGTTACCAAACCAGACCACAAAAATAGGTGTTAATGAGAGATATTTCAGGAAAGATCTGGTAAACTAAAAATGTAGGATTGGATAAGAATACATGCAAAGTTTTAGGTGAGCTCAAGAACCCCATGGATCAAATCTTTATATTTCTTAAAGAATAAAAAAAAAAAAAAAAAACGGCTTGAAGACTTTTATAGAACCTATTCTGTAAGATTTGAATCTGAAATCCCTTCCAAAAAACAGCTCAAGTGAACACATCAACATGTTCCATTACAGAATTTTCAAAGAGTTTATCTCAAAAATATACCATGAAAAGACACTCAAGTTTGGCATAAGTAAATTCTACTAAACATTTCATAAGTATCCACATACGTTATTCTCAAACTTCCAAAAAAGTGATCACCTTCTAATTCCATATAAATTTATTAATTGAATTTTCCATTTCTGTGAAACACGCCATTGGAATGTTGATAGAGATTGCATTAAATTTATAGATTACTTTGGGTAACATTGCCATCTTAAATATATTGTCTTCCCATCCATCGACACAAGCTACATTTCCATTTATGTATGTCTTCTTTAACGTCTTTCCACAATGTTTTAGGAGTTTTCAGTGCTAAATTCTTTCACTTACTTGGTTAAATTTATTCCTAGATATTTTATTATTTTGAATCCTGTTGTAAATGGCATACGCTTTATTTTTTTTTTTATTTTTGGATTGTTCATTGCTATTTTATAGAAACAAACTGATTTTTGTTTGTTGAGATTTTGTGCCCCACAACTTAGCTAAATTCATTTATTAACTCCAATAATTTTTAAGTTTTTGGTAGATTCTTTAGGATTCTCTATATGTAAGATTTTGTCATTTGTGAATAAGAAGAATTTCACTTTACTTTTTCCTTTTTAATTTGGATGCGTTGTATTTCTTTGGTTTCCCTAAATGTTTGGGCTAGCTATTCTAGTACAATGTTTAATAGAAGTAATAGAAGCCAGTGTCTTCATTTTTTCCCCATCTTAGAGAGAATTCTTTCATTCTTATCCCATGGTATATGATGGAATGAGATTTTTGTAAATAACCTTTATCATGCTGAAGATGTTCTCTTCTATTTCTTGTTTTTTGAATATTTGTTATGAAAGTGTGTGGGATTTATTTCAATTTGTTTTCTGTATCAATTGAGATAATTGTATGGGTTTTCTTTATTCATTCTATTAATGTGACATATTATATTGACTGATTGTTACATGCTAAACCATCATTGCATTTCAGAGATTTTTTCCATTTGTATTCATGAGGGATTTTAGTCTGTAGTTTTTTTATTATGGTAATGTCTTCATCTGAATTTGGGTCATAGGATGAGTCAGTAAATATTCTTTTCTATTTTATACACTGGAAGAATGTGAAAGAATTGGTGTTGTCTTCTTTAAAGAATTTGTAGAAGTCACCAGAGAAGCCATTTTTGCTCTGGTCTTTTCATTTTGGGGTGACTTTTGAATACTGATTATTTCTTTTGTTATAGGTGTGTTCATATTTTCTGATACATTTTCAGTTAGTCTCACTAATTTTATCTAGACATTTGTTCATTTCATTTAGATTATCTTATTTATTGGCTTATAATTGCCTATAATATTATCTTATAATTCTGTTTATTTTTGTACTATGAGTAGTAATGTCCTCACATTTATTTCAGATTTTAGTAATTGAGTTATTTTTTTCTAAGTCAACCTAGATATTTTTAAAATTTTTGATATTTTCAAATAACTAACTTTTGCTTTTGTTGATTATTTTATAAATTTTGAATCTTGTATTTAACTTATTGATACTTTGATATTCATTATTCCTTTTCTTCTGCTATATGTGTGTTTAGTTTGCTCATCTATTTTACATCTTTAAGGTGTAAAATTAGGTTGTGTTTTGAAAACTTTCTTTTAATGTAGATATTTGCAACAATAAATTTCTTTCAAAGCACTGCTTTTGCTTATAGGGTTAGGAATGGCTACTGCTACAGGAACCGGAATAGCCAGTTTAACTACTTCATTATCCTACTACCACACACTCTCAAAGGATTTTTCAGACAGTTTACAAGAAATAACGAAATCTATCCTTAGTTTACAATCCTAAATAGACTCTTTGGCAGCAATGACTCTCCAAAACTGCTGAGGCCTAGACCTCCTCACTGCTGAGAAAGGAGGACTCTGCACCTTCTTAGGGGAAGAGTGTTGTTTTTACACTAACCAGTCAGGGATAGTACCAGATGCCACCCAGAGTTTACAGGGAAAGGCTTCTGAAATCAGACAACGCCTTTCAAACTTTTATACCAACCTCTGGAGTTGGGCAACATGGCTTCTCCCCTTTCTAGGTCCTGTGGCAGCCGTCTTGCTGTTACTCACCTTTGGGCCCTGTATTTTTAACCTTCTTGTCAAATTTGTTTCCTCTAGAATCAAGGCCTTCAAGCTACAGATGGTCTTACGAATGGAACCCCAAATGAGTTCAACTAACAACTTCTACTGAGACCCCTGGACCGACCCACTGGCACTTTCACTGGCCTAGAGAGCTCCCCTCTGCAGGACACTAGGACTGCAGGGCCCCTTCATTGCCCCATCCAGCAGGAAGTAGCTAGAGCAGTCATAGGTCAAATTCCCAACAGCAGTTGGGGTGTCCTGTTTAGAGGGGGGGATTGAGAGGTGACAGCGTGCTGGCAGCCCTTGCAGCCCTTGCTCACTCTCGGCACCTCCTCGGCCGGCCTTGGTGGCCACTCTGGCCGCACTTGAGGAGCCCTTCAGCCCACCACTGCACTGTGGGAGACCCTCTCTGGGCTGGCCGAGGCTGGAGCCTGCTCCCTCTGCTTGCCGGGAGGTGTGGAGGGAGAAGCGCAGGAGGGAACCGGGGCTGCATGTGGTGCTCGTGGGCCAGCATAAGTTCTGCGTGGGTGTGGGCTCAGCAGGCCTCGCACTCAGAGCAGCCAGCTGGCACCACCGGCCCCAGGCAGTGAGGGGTTTAGTACCCAGGCCAGCACCTGCAGAGGGTGTGTTGGGTCCCCCAGCAGCACCGGCCCACTGGCATTGCACTTGAATTCTTGCTGGGCCTCAGCTACCTCCCCATGGGGCAGGGCTTGGGACCTGCACCCCACCATGCCCGAACCTCCCCCATGCCGTGGGCTCCTGCGCGGCCTGAGCCTCCCCAATAAGCACCGCCTCCTGCTCCACAGAGCTTAGTCCCATCAACCACCCAAGGGCTGAGGAATGTGGGCACATGGTGCAGGACTGACAGGCAGCTCCACCTGTGGCCCTGGTGTGGGATCCACTAGGTGAAGCCAGCTGGGCTCCTGAGTCTAGTGGGGACTTGGAGAACTTTTATGTCTAGCTGGAGGATTGTATATGCACCAATCAGCACTCTGTGTCTAGCTCAGGGTTTTTGGATGCACCAATCAGCACTCTGTATCTAGCTAACCTGGTGGGGACTTGGAGAACTTTTATGTCTAGCTAAGGGATTGTAAATACACCAATCAGCACTCTGTGTCTGGCTCAAGGTTTGTAAACACAACAATCAGCACCCTGTGTCTAGCTCAAGGTTTGTAAATGCACCAATCAGTGCTCTGTGTCTAGCTAATCTAGTGGGGACTTGGAGAACTTTTGTGTCTAGCTCAGAGATTGTAAACACACCAATCAGCAACCTGTCAAAATGGACCAATCAGCTCTCTGTAAAACAGACCAATAAGCTCTCTGTAAAATGGACCAATCAGCAGGATGTGGGTGGGGCCAGATAAGGGAATAAAAGCAGGCTGCCCGAGCCAGCAGTGGCAACCCGCTCAGGTCCCCTTCCTCACTGCGGAAGCTTTGTTCTTTCACTCTTTGCAATAAATCTTGCTGCTGCTCACTCTTTGGGTCCACACTGCCTTTATGAGCTGTAACACTCACCACGAAGGTCTGCAGCTTCACTCCTGAGCCAGCAAGACCACAAACCCACTAGGAGGAATGAACAACTCCAGACCTTAAGAGCTGTAACACTCATCATGAAAGTCTGCAGCTTCACTGCTGAGGCCAGCGAGACCATGAACCCACCAGAAGGAAGAAACTCTGGACACATCTGAACATCTGAAGGAACAAACTCCGGACACACCATCTTTAAGAACTGTAACACTCAGTGCAAGGGTCCACAGCTTCATTCTTGAAGTCAGCGAGACCAAGAACCCACCAATTCTGGACACACTATCTTTTCATTGGAGAATTTAATCCATTTATATTTCATGTAATTTCTGATAAGGAAAGATTTCCTTCCATTTAGCTATCTTTTTCTGTGTCTTATCTTTTTTCTGTTTTGTTTCTAAATTTATTTCTTGTTGTCTTCTTATCTGTTTTATTATTTATTTATAGTGTACCATTTTAGTTTATTTTTATTTTCTTTTTCTGTATATCTTTCAGTTAGTTTCTTACTATTTAACCTGGGGACAAAAAATAAAGTAAACTCAACTTGTAACACTGTATTTTGATTAATACCACCTAGCTTCAATAGTGTATAAAAATCTGCTTTTATAAAGCTTTTTCCCTTTCCCCTTATGTTGCTGTCATCACAAATTACATCCTTATACAATGCTTGACCATTAAAATAGATCTATAATTAACATTTTATGTTTGTACCTTAAATCTCACAGGAAAAACAGTTACAAATCAAAAATAAATCAATACTTCTTCTTATATTTACAAGTGTAATTACCTTTAACGGTGCTTTTTATTTTTCAATATAACTTCAAAATCACTCTCTAGTGTCTTTTAATTTCTTCTTGTTGGGCATTTTTAGCATTTCTTATAGGGCCAATTATTATTAATGCTCTCAACCTTTGCATG
This sequence comes from Homo sapiens, assembly GCF_000001405.40. NCBI lineage: Eukaryota > Metazoa > Chordata > Mammalia > Primates > Hominidae > Homo > Homo sapiens. The sequence continues at coordinate 197,274 of NW_009646200.1, forward strand.
TGAGAGAATGTCTTAATTTCTCCTTAATTTTTGATGGATAGTTTAACAAATTTTCAGTTGACAGTTTCTTTTTTTCTTTCAGCACTTTTAATATGTCATCCCATTCCTTTCTTGGCTATGACATTCTCATTGATAATAAATCTACTCTTAATCATAATGAGGATCTCTTGTATATGATGAGTTGCTTTTCTCTTGCTGCTTTCAAGTTTTTCTCTATGTCATTAGATTTCAATAGCTTAATTATGATGTGTCTTGGTGTGGAACTCTTGGTTTTTATTCTTAAATTTGGTTGAGTTTCTTGTATGTACAGATTAATGAATTCATCGAATTTGGAGACTTTTTTCATTCTTTCTTCAGATATTCTCTCTGTTCCTTTATCTCATTTCTCACACTCTGAGACTCCCCTTATGCATGTATTGGTGTACTTTATTGTGTCCCACAGGTCTCTTAGGCTTTATTCAGTCTTTTTTTTTCTTCCTGCTCCTCAGCCCGGTTAATCCCAGTGGACCTAAGATTGTTTGTTAATTCTTTACTTTATCTGCTCAAATTTGCTATTGAAATGACCTAGTAATGTTTTCATTGAAGATTTTGTGCTTCAGAGCTCCAAAACTTTTGTTTGGATTATTTCTGTACTTTCTGTCTTTGTTGATATTCTCTATTTGTTGAGACATCATGTTTGGGTTTCTTTTAGCTATCTGACTATCTGACTATATTTAGGCAGTTTGCTTAAAGTCTTTGTATAGTAGTTCCAGCTATGCTTCCTCAGGGATATTCTCTGTTAATTTCACATCATATGTCAATCATATGATGTGTTAGCTAAGGTAATCAGATTCTTACTTATTCTCTTCTGGGATTTTTGTTGTTGTTGCCTTTTGTTGATAATAGTTGTTTGTTTAGTTAATTTTAAACCTTTTCTTAAGACATAATATACCATATTCTACATCGTGTGTGGTCTCTGAAGCCTCCATTTCTTTTAGCATGTAGTAGCTAGGGTTTTGAAAGATTTCCTTGAATGCCATTTTTAGGTTGCCTCTTATTGATTTACTACTTAGGTAGAAGCTATAAGCCTTTGACTATTTCCAAGAGTTCTGACAAAGCTGATACTGACCATTTTTTTCTTCTCTTTAAAAAAAGATTATGTGGAGAGATAGACCCTTGGAGCTGCATAATTTACAAAATTATACTGATGTAAATCTCCTCCAGGATTCTGTTGATCAGTATTAGCATGATACATCTTTCTCCATTCCTACAATTTAAACCATCGATAGTTTCTTTTTTTAAATTTACCGTCCATGGTTTATATTTAAGTGGGTTTCTTTTTTACAATATTTTTTAATTCACTCTTAAAAACTCTGCCTCTTAGTGTACTTAAAACATTCGTATTTAAAGTAGCTATCATATGATTGACAATGAGATACCATCTAACACCAGAAAGAATGGCTATTATTAAAAAGTTATAAAATAATAGATGCTGGTGAGGTTGTGGAGAAAAAGGAATGCTTATACACTGTGGGAGTGTAAATTAGTTCAGTCATTGTGGAAGACAGTGTGGCACATCGTTGGAAACCTAAAGATAGAAATACCATTCAGCCCAGCAATCCCATTACTCGGTATTACCCAAAGGAATAAAAATTATTCTATTATAAAGACACCTGTACATGTATGTTCATTAAGCACTACTCACAATAGCAAAGACATGAAATCAAAATATCTATCGATGATAGATCGGATAAAGAAATGTGGTATATATACACCATGGAATATGATGCAGGTGTAAGAAAGAAAGAGACCATATCCTTTGCAGTGACATGGATGGAGCAGAAGGACATTATCCTTAGCAAATTAACACAGTAAGAGAAACCAAATACCACATGTTCTCGCTTATACGTGGGAGACAAATGATGAGACCACATGGATCTATAGAGGAGAACAACCCACCCTGGGGTCTTTTGGAGGGTGGAGGGTGAGAGGAGGGAATCAGGAAAAACAGCAAATATGTACTAGGCTTGATATCTAGGTAATGAAATAATCTGTATAACAAACTCCCATGACACAAGTTTACCTATGTAACAAACCTGCAGTTGTACCCGCGAGCTTAAAATAAAAGTTTAAAAAATTACTATCAATAAAATTGTTTTAGCAGCCACCAGGTTTGTAACTGTTACCATTCATTTCACTTGCTACTATTTATTTCACTTTGACTTCTATTCTTTTCCCTCTTTTTTTTGTTTTAATGAAGTGTCTTATTCTTTTTTTTTCTTCTCTCTTAAAGTACCATTATAACACTTTTCTTCTTAGTTTTTTAAATTAATTGTTCTAAATTCAGGAAACTTCCACAACAAATGTAACTCCACCCTAAAATAGCACTATATGTGTGTGCGGGTCATGCCTGTACCTTACATCAGATTATTAACAATTTCTTCCTCTTGATCCTTATGTTGCTGTCATTTGTTTTACTTATCTTTTTCTATAATGACCCGATATAAAGTTACTATCATTACTCTGAAAAATAATTTTTAGGTCAATAAAGGATTCTAGTTTACCTTCATTTATTTCTTCTCTGTCACTCATCCTCTTTTTATATAGATCTCAGTTTCTGACATATCATTTTTCTTCTCCTTGAAGAATTTCTTTTAACATTTCTTGGTAGGAAGATTACTGATGAATGATGAATTCCCTCAGTATTTGTTCACTTGACAAGTCTTTTATTTTTCCATTATTTTTAAAAGATAGTTTCTTTGAAAATAGAATTGTTTATAATTATTTAAATCAACACTTTAGATATTTCACTCCTCTCAGTCTTTTCAAAAATAAATTGTGTATGATTTTATGAGATACATATATACAGCAAAATAGTTATTATACTAAAACAAATTAACATATTCATTATCTCATACAGTTAACCATTTTTATTTCCTGTGGCAAAAGCAACTGTAATCTACTTATTTATCCAAATCTTGACTATAATACAATATTATTAACTGTAGTCTTCATATTGTACATTAGATGTTCTTTGTAAATATTCTTAAAAAGTAATTTGTTTGTTTTTATTGAGAAGGAGGTCTCACTCTGTGGCCCAGACTGGTCACAAGCACCTGGCTTCAGATTAGATTTTAGACTTGTTTATCTTAAGAATCTTCTACTTTGTATATTTTGACCTACATCTCTTTAATTCTTCCACCTCAAGCCCATCCCTAGTAACCACTATTTTATTATCTATCTCTATAAATATGACTATTTTTAATATTTCCTATGTAAGCGAGATCACACAGTATTTTTCTTTCTGTATCAGGCTTATTTTACTTACCATATGTCCTCCAGGCTCATCCATGTTGTGCATGTTGTGGAAAATGGCAGAATCTCCTTCATATTTAAGGTGGAATAGAATTCCATTGAATGTGTGAGTATGTGTGTGTGTGTGTGTGTGAGACGTAGGAATATTGCAGATTTTCTTTATACACTTATTCATAGATGGAAACTTAGACTGTTTCTATACATTAGTTTTTGTGAATAAGGTTACAATGGACAAGGCAGTGCATATATTTTCTTGTTTTAATTTTTTAAAATTTTACTTTAAATTTCAGGATACATGTGCAGAATGTGCAGGTTTGTTATGTAGGTATACATGTGCCATGGTGGTTTGCTGTTCCTATCAACCCATCATCTAGGTTTTAATCCCTATGTGCATTAAATATTTGCCCTAATGATCTCTCTCCCCTAGTCCCCAACCCCCCAACAGGCCCCAGTGTATGATGTACCCCTCCCTGTGTCCATGTGTTCTCATTGTTTAACTCCCACTTATGCATGAGAACATGCAGTGTTTGGTTTTCTCTTCCTGTGTAAGTTTGCTGAGAATGATGGCTTGCAGCATCATCCATGTCCCTACAAATGACATGAACTCATTTTTTTTATGGTTGCATTGTGTTCCATGGTCTATATGTGCCACTCTTCTTTATTCAGTCTGTCATTGATGGGCATTTTGTTTTGTTCCAGGTCTTTACTATTGTAAATAGTGCTGCAATAAAGATACACGTGCATGTGTCTTTACAGTAGAATGATTTATAATCCTTTGGGTGTATACCCAGTAATGGGATTGCTATGTCAAATGGTATTTCTGCTTCTAGATCCTTGAGGAATTGCCACACTGTCTTCCACAATGATTGAACTAATTTGCACTCCCACCAACAGTGTAAAATCCTTCCTATTTTTCCACAGCCTCGCCAGAATCTATTGTCTCCTGACTTTTTAATAATCACCATTCTGATTGGCATGAGATGGTATCTCATTGTGGTTTACATTTGCATTTCTCTAATGATCAGTGATGAGCTTTTTTTCATGCTTGTTGTCCAAATAAATATCTTCTTTTGAGAAGTGTCTGTTTATATCCTTTGTCCACTTTTTGATGGGGTTGTGCTTTTTTTTTTTTTTTTTGTAAATGTGTTTAAGTTCCTTGTAGATTCTCGATGTTAGACCTTTGCCAGGTGGATAGATTGCAAAAATGCTCTCTCATTCTGTAGGTTGCCTATTCACTCTGATGCTAGTTTATTTTGCTGTGCAGAAGTTGACAAGATCCCATTTATCAATTTTGGCTTTTGTTGAAATTGTTTTTAGTGTTTTAGTCATAAAGTCTTTGCCTATGCCTATGCACTGAATGGCATTTCCTAAGTTTTCTCCTAGGGTTTTCATGATATGGGGTTTGGCATTTAAGTCTGTAACCCATCTTGAATTAATTTTTGTATAAGGTGTAAGGAAGGGGTCCAGTTTCTACTTTTTATATATGGCTAGCCAATTTTTCCAGCACCACTTATTAAATAGAAAATCCTTTCCCCATTGCTTGTTTTTGTCAGATTTGTTGAAGATCAGATGGTGTAGATATGTGGTGTTATTTCTAAGCCTTCTGTTCTTTTCCATTGGTCTATATATCTGTTTTGGTACTAATGCCATGCTGCTTTGGTTACTGTAGCCTTGTAGTATAGTTTGAGTCAGGTAGCATGATGCCTTCAGCCTTGTTCTTTTTGCTTAGGATTGTCTTGGATATATGGGCTCTTTTTTGGTTCCATACTAAATTTAAAGTAGTTTTTTTTTTCAAATTATTTGAAGAAAGTCAATGGTAGCTTGATGAGAATAGCATTAAATCTATAAATTACTTTGGGCAGTATGGCCATTTTCATAATATTGATTCTTCCTATCCATGAGCATGGAATGTTTTTCCATTTGTTTGTGTCCTCTCTTATTTTCTTGATCAGTGGTTTGTAGTTCTTGAAGAGGTCCTTCACATCCCTTGTAAGTTGTATTCCTAGGTATTTTATTTTCTTTGTAGCAATTATGAGTGGGAATTCATTCATAATTTGGATCTTTACTTCTTTATTGTTGATGTACAGGAAAGCTTGTGATTTTTGCACATTGATTTTGTATCCTGAGACTGCTGAAGTTGCTAATCAGCTTAAGGAGTTTTTGGGCTGAGATGATGGGGTTTTCTTAGTATAGAATCATGTCATCTGCAATCAGAGACAATTTAACTTCATCCCTTCCTGTGTGAATACCCTTTATTTCTTTCTCTTGCCTGATTGGCCTGGTCAGAACTTCCAATACTATGTTGAATAGGAGTGGTGAGAGAGGGCACCCTTGTCTTGTACCAGTTTTCAAAGGGATTGTTTCCAGCTTTTGCCCATTCAGTATGATACTGCCTATGGGTTTGTCGTAAATAGCTTTTATTATTATGCTATTATGAGATATGTTTCATCAATACCTATTTTATTGAGAGTTTTTTGCTTGAAGGTATGTTGAATTTTTTCAAAGACTTTTTTAGGATCTAGTGAGATAGTCATGTGGTTTTTGTCATTGTTTCTGTTCATGTAATGAATTATGTTTATTGATTAGCATATGTCAAACCAGCCTTGCATCCCAGGGATGAAGCCAACTTGTTTGTGGTGGATAAGCTTTTTGATGTGCTGCTGGATTCAGTTTGCCAGTATTTTATTGATGATTTTCAATCAACAGGGATATTGGCCTGAAGTTTTCTTTTTTTGTTGTGTTTCAGCCAGGTTTTGGTATCAGGATGATGTTGGTATCATAAAATGAGTTAGGGAGGAGTCTCTCTTTTTCAGTTCTGTGGAATAGTTTCAAAATGGATGGTACCAGCTCCTCTTTGTACCTCTGGTAGAATTCAGCTGTGAATTCATCTGGTCCTGGGCTGTTTTTTGGTTGGTAGGCTATTAATTACTGATTCAATTTTAGAATTTGTTATTGGTCTGTTCAGGGTTTCAACTTCGTGATCTAGTGTTGGGAGGGTTTATGTGTCCAGAAATTTATCCATTTCTTCCAGATTTTCTAGTTTATTTGTGTAGAGATGTTTATAGTATTCTCTGATGGTAGTTTGTATTTCTGTGGGATCAGGGGTGATAGGCACTCTATCATTTTTTATTGTGTCTATTTGATTCTTCTCTCTTTTCTTCTTTGTTGGTCTAGCTAGTGGTCTAGTTTGTTAATCTTTTCAAAAAACCAGCTCATGAATTAATTTATTTTTTAAGGTTTTTTCATGTTTCTATATCCTTCAATTCTGCTCTTATCTTAGTAATTTGTTGTCCTCTGCTAGATTTTGAATTTGTTTTCTCTTGCTTCTGTCGTTCTTTTAATTGTGATGTTAGGGTGTCCATTTGAGATCTTTCCAGCTTTCAGATGTGGATATTTAGTGCCATAAATTTTCCTCTTAACAGTGCTGTACCTGTGTCCCAGAGATTCTGGTATGTTGTCTCTTTGTTTTTATTGTTTTCAAAGAGCTTCTTGATTTCTGCCTTATTTTTGTTATTTACCCAGGAGTCATTCAGGAGCAGGTTGTTCAATTTCCATGTAGTTGTGCGCTTTTGAGTGAGTTTTTAAATCCTGAATTTTAATTTGATTGCACTGTGGTTTAAGAAACTGTTTGTTATGATTTCCATTTTTTTTTTGCATTTGCTGAGGAATGCTTTACTTCCAATTATGTGGTCAATTTTTGAATAAATGCTAGGTGGCACTGAGAAGAATGTATATTCTGTTGATTTGGGGTGGAGAGTTCTGTAGATGTCTATTAGGTCCTCTTGATCCAGAGCTGAGTTCAAGTCCTGAATATCTTTGTTAATTTTCTGTTTTATTGATCTAATGTTGATAGTGGAGTGTTAAAGACTCCCACTATTATTGTGTGGGCGCTTAAGTCTCTTTGTAGGTCCCTAAAAACTTGTTTTATGAATCTAGGTGCTCCTGCTGGGTGCATATATATTTAGGATAGTTAGCTCTTCTTGTTGCATTGATCCCTTTCCCATTATGTAACGCCCTTCTTTGTCTTTTTTGATCTTTGTTGGTTTACAATCTGTTTTATCAGAGACTAGGATTGCAACCCCTGCTTTTTTTTCCTCCCATTTGCTTGGGAAACACTCTATTCCTTTATTTTGGGCCTATGTGTGTCTTTGCACATGAGATGGGTCTTGACTCTTTTTCCAATTTGCCTGTGTCTTTTAACTGGGGAATTTAGCCCATTTACATTTAAGGTTAACATTGTTATGTGTGAATTTGATCCTGTCATTATGATGCTAGCTGGTTACTTTGCATATTAGTTGATGCAGGTTCTTCATAGTACTGATGGTCTTTCCATTTCAGTGTGTTTTTGCAGTGGCTGGTACTGTTTTTTTGTTTACATATATATTTATAGTGCTTCCCTCAGGAGCTCTTGCAAGGCAGGCCTGGTGGTGACAAAATCCCTCAGCATTTACTTGTCTGGAAAGGATTTTATTTCTCCGTTGCTTATGAAGCTTAGTTTGGCTGCATATGAAATTCTGGGTAAAAATTCTTTTCCTTAAGAATGTTGAATATTGGCCCACACTTTCTTCTGTCTTGTATAGTTTCTGCTGAGATACCTGCTGTTAGTCTGATGGGCTTCCCTTGTAGGTTACCTGCCCTTTCCCTCTGGATGCCCTTAACATTTTTTTCTGCATTTCAACCTTGGAGAATCTGATGATTATGTGTCTTTGGGTTGATCTTCTCATGGAGTATTTTATTGGTGTTCTCTGTATTTCTTGAATTTGAATGTTGGCCTGTCTTGCTAGGTTGGGGAAGTTCTCCTGGATAATATCTTGAAGTGTGCTTTCCAACTTGGTTCCATTCTCCCTGTCACTTTCAGGTACACCAGTCAATGATAGGTTTGGTCTTTTCACATAATCCCATATTTCTAGGAGGCTTTATTCATTCCTTTTCATTTTTCTTCCCCTAATCTTGTCTTCACACCTTATTTCAGCAAGGTGGTCTTCAATCTCTGATATCCTTTCTCCTGCTTGATCTATTTGACCAGTGACACTTGTGTATGCTTCATAAACTTCTCATGCTGTGTGTTTCAGCTCCATCAAGTGATTTATGTTCTTCTCTAAGCTGGTTATTCTAGTTAGCAGTTCATGTAACCTTTTATCAAGGTTCTTAGCTTCCTTGTATTGGGTTAGAACATGTTTCTTTTGCTCCGAGGAGTTTGTTATTACCTGCCTTCTGAAGCCTACTTCCGTCAATTCATCAATTTCATTTTCTGTTCAGTTTTGTGCCCTTGCTGGAAAGGTGTTGCGATCATTTGGAGGAAAAGAGGCATTCTGGCTTTTGAAATTTTCAGCATTTTTGCGCTGTTTTTTCCTCATCTTCATGGATTTATCTACCTTTATTCTCTGAGGCTGATGACCTTTGGATGAGGTTTTTGTGTGGGAGCCTTTTGCTGTTGTTGCTTTCTGTTTGTTAGTTATTTTTCTAACAGTGAGGCCCCTCTTCTGTGGGTCTACTGCAGTTTGCTGGAGGTCCACTCCACACCCTGTTCACCTGGGTGTTATCAGTGGAGGCAGCAAAACAGCAAAGATTGCTTCCTCCTCCTTCCTCTGGAAGATTTATCCCAAAAGGGCACCGCCCTGATGCTAGCCAGAGCTCTCCTGTATGAGGTGTCTGTTGACCCCTGTTCTGAGGTCTCTCCAAGTCAGAGGGCACGGGGGTCAGAGACTAACTTGACAAGGCAGTCTGTCCCTTAGCAGATCTGGTGTACTATGCTGGAACAACCCTCCTTGTCAGGATCAGCTCCTCTCTTCAGAGCCATCAGGCAGGAAAGTTTAATTCCATTAAAGCTGCGCCCACAGTTGCCCCTTCCCCCAGGGCCTCTGTCCCAGGGAGATTGGAATTTTATCCATAAACTCCTGACTGGGGCTGCTGCATTTCCTTCAGAGACGCCCTATCCTGTGAGGAGGAATCTAGAGAACCAGTCTGGCCACAGCCAGTCTGCCATATTGTGGTGAATTCCACGCAGTACAAACCTCCCCATCTCCTTAGCACCATCAAGGGAAAACCACCTACTAAAGCCTCAGTAATGGTGGATGCCCCTCCCCCCACCAAGCTTTATCATCCCAGGTGGACTCCAGACTGCAGTGCTGGAAGTGAGAATTTCAAACCAGTGTTTCTTAGCTTGCTGGGCTCTGTGGGAGTGGAACCTGCTGAGTGAGAACACTTGGCTCCCTGGCTTCAGCCCCCTTTTTAGCAGAGTGGATGGTTCTCCCATCTGGCTGGTGTTCCAGGTGCTGCTGGGGTATGAAAAAAACTATGCAGCTAGTTCATTTCCTGCCCAAACAGCCGCCCAGTTTTGTGCTTGAAACCCAGGGCCCTGGTGGTGTAGGCTCATAAGGGAATCTCCTATTCTGTGGATTGCAAAAATCTGTGGGAAAAGCCTAGTACCTGGGGCAGATAGCACAGTCCCTCACCATTTCCCTTGGCTGGGGGAGGGAGGTCACCCAGCTCCTTTCATTGCCTGGGTGAAGCAACACCACACCTTGCTTCGACACGCCCTCCATGGGTTGCACCCACTACCTAACCAGTCCCAATGAGATGAACTGGGTACCTCAGTTGGAAATGCAGAAATCACCCACCTTCTGCATTGGTCTCGCTGGGAGCTGCAGAACTGTTTCTATTTGGCCATTTTGGCCTCTCCCCAGTGCAAATATCTTTATGAGGTGGTGATTTGATTTGATTTTCTTTGGGTATATACCAAGAAGAAGGATTTATATGTCATAAAGTAATTCTACTTTTTATTTCTTTAGAAATCTCCATATTGTTTTCCATCATGGTGGCACCAATGTGCATTCCCATCTAAAGTACACAAGGGTTCCCTTTCTTCACACTCCCACCAATATTTGTCTTTTTGATGATAGCTATCATCATGGATCTTTGAAACCACCAAAGTCCAAAAAAAAACCAACACACAGAAAAAAACGTTTTGACATTGGCCTTGCAACGATTTATTGGATATAGCATGAAAAGCTCCAGCTACAAAGCAAAAATAAATGAATTAGACTACATCAAACTATGCTTCTGTACAGCACAGAAAACAAGAAAATGAAAAGGCAATATATGGATAGGAAAACAGCTGTGTAAACTATATGCTTAATAAGAGTTAATATCAAAAATGTATAAAGATATACAACTCTATAGAGTAAAACATATAGCTCAATTTTTTAAATGGGGAAGAAACATAAATAGATATTTCTTCAAAGAAGACATTAAAGTGGCCAACAGGTATATGAAAAGATGCTTCACATTATTAGTCATGAGGAAAATGTAAATCAAAACTACTATGAGAAACCATTTGACTCTTGTATTGTTTTTGCATGGTTCCTGATAAGATGGTCAATGTAGTTGTTATACTTGTTCCTCCACAGATTAGATGTTTGTCTTTTTACATGGCTGATTTCCTGATTTTTATTTTATCTTTGGTATTATTTGGTTTGAATATAATATGCTGACATGTGAATTTGTTTATTTTTGTTTATTTTGTTTTGTTTTTTTTAACCTGCTTGGCAATCACTGTGTGTTCCCGAATCTATGGTTTGATGTCTGCCATTAATATATGAAATATTCTCAGAAATTATTACTTCAGATATTTTCTCTCTTTCCTATCTCTTTCTTCTTCTGGTATTCCCATAATACATATGTTGCATCTGAAATTGTTCCATAGGTCTTTGATATTCTCTTTTGTTTTGTTTTATTTTTCTCTTTGCATGTCACTTTATGAAACTTTTATTGATACACATTTAAGCTCACTGATTTTATCCTTTGGCATGTCCAGTCCAGTGATGAGTCCATTAAGGATGTTCTTTATTTGTATTACAGAGTTTTCAATAGATAGAAAATTTTCAATATTTTTTAGATTTTTAAAAATCTCTGTACTTACATTGCCCCTTTGTTACTGCATTTTGGCTTTTTCAACAGAATTCTTAAGATACCATTCATAGTTATGGAAAATTCCCAGTCTGATAATTGCAAACTCTGCCATGTCTGAGTCTGGTTTTGATGCATGCTTTGTCTCTTCAGGCTGTTGTATTTCTTGGCTTTTATTATGCTTTGCATTTTTAAAAAGCTGTATATCATGTATCACCTAATGGGAACTATGGGAAATAGACCTTTGCTGTGATGTTTTATGTTATTCTGAACTAGGAATTGGGCTGTGTTTATTGCTTGCTGTAGCTGCACTAAACACAGCCCAATCAAAGAAGAAAGGCAAGTCTTTGATTTTCTTCTAGGTTTTTGGGTTTGCTTGTTTTTTTGCATGTGCCCTTTTGTCTAGATTTCTCTAAACAATAATTTTTAAAGAGAGTCTGACACTTGCAGTTTTTTAGCTATAATCTATTGTTAATATACTTATGCCCTGCTGATGTTATGTCAAACTGTGAGAGAAAGGAAGTGTTCTATAATGCTATGATTCAGTCTCAGTTTTTTTTATTAAGGATTCATTTTTCAGCTATGACATTCACAAGTATTTATTAGAGAATCCCATTTTGTATGATACAGTAAAGCTAGCAGTATCTAAAGTTTGATTACTTCCCTACCCCCATGTAGGCTAAGATGCTGGTAAACTCTTCTCTTTTATTTAGTAGGCCTTTGTTACATCTTTAAAAAGATTACTTCTTCCAAACTGCTTCAAAGAACATGATTGGTTTTCTGACTCATCATAAGAGAATTTTTCTGATAACCTTGTGGGATTCCTGGATATTAGATCTTTGTTGGATGCATCATTTGAAAATATTTTCTCCCACTCTATATGGTGGCTTTTTAATTTATTAATAGTTTATTTTGCTGCACAGACTCTCCTTAGTTTAATTAGGTCCCATTTGTTAATTTTTGTTTTTGTTGCAATTGCTTTTGAAGACTTGTTCATAAATTCTTTCCCAAGGCCCATGTCCACATGACATTTCTTCATTTTTTTTTCTATGATTCTTATAGTTTGAGGTCTTACAGTTAAATCTTTATTCCATCTTAAGTTACTTTTAGTATATGGGAAAAGGTAAGAGTTCAGTTTCATTCTCCTACATATGGCTAGCCAGTTATCCCAGCTCTATTTATTGAAGAGGCAGTCCTTTCCTTATGGCTTAGATAAGATGTCTGTTAGGTGTGTCACTTTATTTCTGGGACCTCTCTTCTATTCTACTGGTCTAGGTGCCTGTTTTTGTTCCAGTACTGTGCTGTTTTGGTTACTGGAGCATTGTAGTATAGTTTGAAATTGGGTAATGTGATGCTTTAAACTTTGTTATTTTTGTTTAGGATTGCCTTGGCTATTCAGGTTCTCTTTTGTTTCATATGAATTTTTGTTTTTTTTTCTAGTGATGTGAAAAATGACATTGGTAGTTTGAGGGAAATAGTGTTGAATCTGTAGATTGCTTTGGGCAGTATGGTTATTTTAACAATGCCAATCCATGAGCATGGCATATTTTTTTACTTGTTTGTGTCGTCCCTGATTTCTTTCAGCAGTATTTTGTAACCTTGGACCAGAAGGATTCACAACCAAATTCTACCAAATGTGCAAAAAAGATCTGATACTAATTCTATTAAAACTGTTCCCCAAAATCCAAGAGGTAAGACTCCTTTCCAGCTAATCTCATGAAGCCAACATCACCGTGATACCAAAATCTGACAGACACAATTAAAAAAATAAACTACAGACTAATATCTCTGATGAACAAAGATGTGAAAATTCTCAACAAAATGATAGCAAACTGAATCCAGCAGCACATGAAAAATTTAATTCACTATGAACAAGTAGGTTTTATTCCTGGGATTCAGGGTTGGTTCAACATACACAAACAAATAAATATGATTCACCACATAAACAGAATTAAAAACAAAAACCATGTGATCGTCTCAGTAGACACAGAAAAGGCTTTCAATAAAATCCAAATTCCATTTATGATAAAAATCTTCAACAAACTAAGCATTGAATGAATATATCTCAAAATAGAGCCATCTATGACAAACCCACAACCAAAACCATTCTGAATGAAAAAAAGCTGAAAGCATTCCTCTTAAAAACATGAACAAGATAAAGATGCTCAGTTTCACTGCTCCTATTCAATACAATACTAGAAGTCCTAAATAAATCAGTCAAGATAAAAAAAGTAAAAGAGAAATAAAATAAAAAAATATTTTTTTATTAAAAAAACAATTTTTGGCTTTTTGGAATATTTTCTAATTCATTTCCTCTGAATATTTCTTTTCTACCCCCTTTGACATGCTTTTCTCTCATTTTTCAACTTCTCAAGCTTAGAACTGATGTATTAGATTTTTCTATTTTTCTAATATGAATACTAAACATATAAATTTATTATTTAGAACTGCTTTAGCTAAGTCACATAGTTTTTCAGTTCAAAATTTTAATGACTTTCTGAATATTTCTTTGATTTATGTATAATTTAAAAACATTTTAAATATTTTCTAAATATTTAAAATTTTTAGAACTCCATTTTTTATTTTTAGTTCTGTTTTTGTAAGGTAATATGCTCTGTATAATTTTAGTAATTAGAAACTGCTATAATGTGTTATACTCCATCACGTAGTCTATCTTGTTGAATTTATAATACATATATAAAAGTAATGTTATTATCTATTTATTGTACTTTTGCATAATCTGTTAGATAAAGATATTTAATAGTGTTTGTTTTCATATATGCTCTTTCCTTATTTAATTTTGTCCATTTATTTTCATCAATAACTAAGAAAGTAATAGTAAAGTCTTCAACTATTATTGTTAGTTGGTTTATTTTTCCCTTTACTTCTGAAAATTTGCTTCACATATTTTAAAACTTTTATTATGTGCCAACACATTTAGGGTTACTATTTGTTCTTCATGAATTGACTCTTTTATCGTCATTAAATCACAGCAGCATTTTTATGATGAATGCTTACATCTATACATTTCTTTATTATTTTAATGTTTTATATATATCTACATTGTTTTAATGTTAATAAATTTGTGCTTTTATATGCATTGCATCTCTTGGAAACAGTGCCTAATTGGGACATGTTTTAATTAAATACATTTTGACAAATCTCTCTTTTTTTTTTTTTTTGTTACAGATGGGGTCTCACTATATTGCCCAGGGTTGTCTCGAAATTGTGGGCTCAAGCGATGCCCCCATCTTGGCCTCACAAAGTGCTGAGACTACAAGCACAAACCACTGCACCTGGCCGTCTTGGTAATTGAAATATTTAGCCCTTTTATATTTACATAATATTGATATAATTAGGTTTGAATCATCTTTTTCTTCTTTTAAAAAAATGCCTCTATTCTTTATTTGGTTTTTATTTTTAGTTTTTTAAAAAAGTATTACTTTTCAGCATTGTACATTAGTTCTGGTATTGGATTTTTGTGTTCTTCTTTATATTTTGTTTAAATATTTTAATATGTATCCTTAATTTATTAAAGTTTTTGTATTATTATTCTACCACTTCATGCAAAATATGAACTATAACAGTATTATTTTATTTACCATATTTTCATTTTTTAAATATTGTTACTCCTATATATGATTTAAATACCACGTACAATGCAATTGTTTTGTCTTTGAACACTTCAATATATTTCGATAAAATTAGAGAAAGCAAAAGACAGTTTAGTATATCTACCCATTTATAACGATCTTTAATAATTTCTGTAGATCTAAATTTCCAACTGATATATTTTCTCTTCAGCTTGGAGAATTTCGGATATATATATATATTCACACACACAAACACACACACACACACACACATGCATGCATATAGGAATCGAGATCTAACAGTAACAAATACTGTTACAATTTACCTGAAACTATCTTCATTTCATTTTAAAGAATGACTTTGCTGAGTACTGAACCCAAATTTGAGAGTTTTTTTTCTTTCAGCATTTCAAAAGTGGTATTTACTTTTTCTTCTATTTTTTGGATTGAATGACTTCTTTTAAGAAATAAATTGTTATATTTATTCCTACCTTACTGTATGTAATGTATCAGTTTTTCTCCTTTAAATTACTTTAAAATTGTTTAAACTAGATTTATTCCAATAGATTTACTATTATGTGTCAAATCTGATTTTCTATACATCCATTGCACTTTTGGTTTTTTGAACTTCATAAATTGATAGTGTTCTTTAACATCTGAAAATGTCAGGCCACCATTATAAAAAACGGTTTCTTCCTCTTTATTCCTTTTACCTCCTTTTAGACAATTATGTTTATTATAGATATAAAAGATTGTGTGATATTTCATTACTAATACTGTGTTGGGTTATTAAATTTTAACTCCCTTCTATCTCTTTGTGCTGTTTTCTGTTTTGGATAATTTATATTGATCTCTTTTTAAGTTCAGTGATGCTTGCTACTACTATATCCATAACTTTCTTTGTATTTGTAGTTTTTGTCTTTTCTACGTGGTTGTTTGGGATTGCTATCTCTTCATTCTTTCTACTTTATCTCTAGATGTCTGAATACATGTATAATTGTTATTTTAAATATGTCTTTGCCACTTTCAATAAAAAGGTTAGTCTGTGTGTTTGTTTATGCAGATTTTTTTTCTTTACGTAGCTGTCATTTCATTGCTTTCTAAATGTCTTGCTACTTTAAATGTCTAATATTTGGTACTGATATGTCCATTATATTTATCTTTCTATCTGAAATTGAGATATACTATTATATTTTTTGTTTGATTATATCCCCTTCTCCCACACCCCTGAGAATGTGAGCTCTATTGTATTTCCGGTGACTAAATCAAGCAGGCAATTGTTTAGATATCACCCACTATTGAGGTGATTTGGGTCTCAGAAGCTGCTGATGAACTCATCTCTGGTTAATTCAACTCCAGGTCTCCCATGGTATCACTGTTGTCAAAGACTGTTTAGTGATTTCATGTATGTTTGAGCTTGAAGCTTGGAAGGGATTTGGCCACAATGTCACTTGGGATTCAGTGGTTCTAGGCGCCACAGGAAGAAAACAGTGCTCAAGTTCTTCCTGCTTTCTACGTACATGTTTTATATTATTTCCTTAGCAAAGTATAGGAAAGAAAGGAAGGGGGAAATATTATTCTAATACAATTATTTTGATAAATAATTTGCAGTTACAGATATAAAACAACTTATCTTTTTGTACCAGCATTAATAGCTTAGTTTAACTTTTTTTTTTAAACCCAGTAATGTGTCTTAATGTTGGTTTGTCCTTTGATTTTACCTGCCAATAACCAGGTGCATCATTTTCCTCCAGAAGCTACCGCATTTTTAAGGATTCTTCTGTCACAAATCAGTTTATGAAATTTTCTTGTGTTTACTCCTTTGGTTAGCTCCATAAAATTGTATAGTTTGAAAGTAAAATAATAAATATCTCTATACATTAGCTTCTTTCAGGTTTTAGGGGAGAAATTCTCCCATATGTGATGATATAAAAAATTGGATATATTATAAAGGCAAAGCAATAGTTCCACAGGTCAGCAAGTGAGCAGTAGATTCAGTGCCAGTTGCTCTTATGTTCAAATTTTCTGTGTCTTTCCTTTCTTGTTTGTCTTGATATTTCTAATTCTTTAAGAAGGGAGAGTCTAATTTTTTAAATGTTTTTGGAAGACAAACTTAATGTTCATTTAATCTACCAAAATTAAGATAAATTATATTTGAATGATAATATTCAATACTTGTTAGTATATAGTAGTTGATCATTATGGTTAGCATCTACTTCTCTTCAATTTAAAAGCTAAATAATATTGTTACATTATTTAGAGTTGAATGAGAGAAAATAAAATGATCTGAATGTTGGGATATCATATTGTTCTTTAAAATAAAACAGAAAGTCTTATTTGGCTAAACCAAACTGCCAACCATGTCCTGAGAGAGATACGTGGGATACACATTTTAGGGATAATTTATTTCAATGAAGTTGCTTCATCAAACACACTCTATTTGTGTAAGCATATAATAAAGTGAATAAATAAACATGGCATTTGGATGAATGATCTATGTAAAGAATGTATAAAAGCAAATAAACTAAAAAGATAAAATTAAATGTATATATACACATCTTGAGAATGTAAAAAGTAGGTATTTCATGTGTAGGCAAATATGTATTCCCATTCAATCTCCAATTAACTTTTAAGTATTTTCATTTCATTTCACCAAGGTGGAGACTTAGATTCAAATCAGTATAATGAACTACTTTAGCTCTCTTGCAAGTTATCTGATATATCAAAAGAGATTGTATCATGCAAATAAAGTTTTCAGATTCCTTTTATAATGCTTGTGAGATTATTTGTATGATAGTATCACCTTGTATTTCCTGAAAGTAAGCTATTAAATAATTTGGAAATTAAATGCTTACCAGAATAATTTTCATAAATGTAGTCAATCAATATTCTCTCCTTCATGCTTGCCCCTTTCCTTTAATATCAATCTGTAAATTGAACTACAAACATGACTCATCTAAGAATTTATATAATATGCAAATTATACAACTTTACTGATTCTTAAATTATTCATTACAATGAAACTCAATGGCATATGCATGTGTAAGCATTCAGAATGTTGAATGCTAATAAAACTTAAAAAATATCTCAATATCTCATTCAACACCGTTTTAGTAATAAAGAAACTACTAAAAAAGTTATTTGTCTTGGATAAAGGATCCTGGGTGCATATTTGGGTACACAATACCCAGTTTTTTTTTCCTAATTTCAAAGAATAATTAAATCATTTTACTTTATAAAAAAAGTAAAATTAAAATATAAAATTCGAACTTACTTTTAAGAGACAGCCGGGATGATCAGGTATAGTCTCTCCAAGCCGAACAGACTGCTCATATTACTTTGGAATTAATAAAAGTATAAGGGTTGGCCAACTTTTAAAGATGTAAATGGATTGACATCATCTATAAAACTATGGTTACTTGTGTGAGACCTGCTGCTAACTGATTAACACTCAGAAGTATGTGCACTGGAGTGGGTATGTTCCTGATTGGCTGACATTCAGAAATGAGAAGTTGATACTGATTGTTTGGCTTGCAAAGCGTTTTTACTGAGACTAGTTTTAGTTGATCAATTCCATGAAGTTAAAAGCAGTCTGGTGATACTTGTTACCATAGCTACAAAATAATTGTTTTTTTCTTTGAGTGTTAGAACTACGATTTTAAAATTATCAGATCCTTTTTTGCTTTTCAATTAACATAAGCCGCAAGAATAACATCAAGGGTTGTAAAGACTTTCACCAATGTCATGCCTCCTTTACAATAAGGTTTTATGTGCAAGGATCCAACTTTGTGTTTGAGAGTTCATCAGAAATATTACAGTCTATCTGTTATCTTTTAATTTTTTTTTTACAGTCAGGATATGACTCTGTGGTAAACCTTAGAATTCTGATTCATAGACATTGAACTAATGTGAGACAAACAATTATTACTAGAAGGATAATAAGAAAGCACTGGGCAATATTCTTGCAACATGGCAAAAATTTCCCAGGCCTGAATAAGTAAAGAAGTCCCAAAGTCTTCCAAAGTACATCTACATAGACAACTTGCCTTTTCTTTGAGCTTAGATATAAATTGTTACAATATAACTATTGCGTTAATATGGGTATAACATACAGTGTTAATGAACAGTGATGCAAAGCCCCACCTTCCCAGTGTGCCAAAAGAAAATTTAAAGTTAATTCATTATCTGTAACTTATTAGGCTAAAAAACTTATTGTGTTTCCAGGGTTCAGGATGTATAGTGTTTTATGTCAGATAAAATAAGAGACATTTTTTATGCCAGCCAAATTACTCCAAATCATGTTGGTGGTATTAAAATACTTAAAAATCATATTTACATTAGTTAGTATATATACCTGTAGGAAAAGTATTGTTCCTTCATCTGCTTTTTAAAGAGTAAATATTTATTGTGAGTATTTTATAAGCTTGGAGCTGTCTGACCAATATCCCCACTGAAAAATTAGGCTGTGGTAAACATAGAAGAATCTGATTCCTGAGTAGGAAAATAAAACAAAGCCATAGGAGAAGCGATCCATAAAACTTAATGGAACTGTATATTATCTTTGGGGGCTGTAGTAAAAAATGAATTTTAGTACACTAGAAATATAGATATTTTCCAATTATTGAAATAACCTATGGTTTTAAATGTTCACTCATTTTTAGTTTTATTTGATTTGAATTATTACTAAAAAGAACATGGATATACAAATGATATATGAGAAGTATCAGTGGAGAATGGAACAATGCACATGATCATTTTGAATATGATTATAAAAGTTACCTTAGTTATATCAATGCTCTTCTAAATGTCTATTAATAGATATAATTTCTGATATTAGATAAGGCTATTTATTAGAATATCAATGATCAAAATTCAGTTTAGTAGCATTAATTTCAGGTACAACAATTATGTGCATTTTCCCAGGATTTGGCAAGGGATGACATATTTGACAAACTTGCAAATTGGCTGCATTAATAACTGGAAAAACTCAATACCAAATGTATGGTAATTATTTCCTCTAGGAAGTCTTGAAATAAACAAAACTTTATTATTGGCAAATGGAGATGATAGACTAAGTCAACTATATGTAAACTGCAACCAGTAAAGATAAAATGTCCAGCCAAAAGGAAAGCAAACAAGATTTAGATAAATGAAATTGTAACATATATAAAATTTTGTCCTGGCCTTGTTGAGTGGACACTTTCTCTAAGAATTCAAGTAAGCAGTAAAGCTACATGGACCATCTGAAAGGTGTCTATGGAAACTGAGTTTGAGATTTTTAGCTTTCCAGTTATTTCCAATTCTTATTGACTAGATGAATCCTTGAGACATATGAACCCAAGGATTAATTCTTATAATTTAATTGCTGTATTGCTAGTTAAAATTAGCAGACAAGACACCTTGAAACAAGGTTCAAAAGTAGTCTTTCTCTGGCTCTTTTTCTGGTACACTAGATCATCCATTATTAGATCAAACTATGAGCCAATTAGTTAACATGAATAAATCTTTGTCTCACTTTGTGTACTAACACACACACACACACGCACACACACATGATTATTGGTTCTGTTTTTCTGGAGAACCCTGACTAACAGACTTTTGTAGCAAGAGTAGTTTTAGAGAATCAGAATCTTAAGGATGAGTTTTCTGAATTTGTTGTGGGGTTTCTTTTTTATTATTATTATACTTTAAGTTTTATGGTACATGTGCACAACGTGCAGGTTTGTTACATATGTATACATGTGCCATGTTGGTGGGCTGCACCCATTAACTGGTCATTTAACATTAGGTATATCTCCTAATGGTATCCCTCCCCCACCCAACCCCACAACAGGCCCCGGTGTGTGATGTTCCCCTGCCTGTGTCCATGTGTTCTCATTGTTTAATTCCCACCTATGAGTGAGAACATGCGGTGTTTGGTTTTTTGTCCTTGCGATAGTTTGCTGAGAATGATGGTTTCCAGCTTCATCCATGTCCCTACAAAGGACATGAATTCATCATTTTTTAAGGCTGCATAGTATTCCATGGTGTATATGTGCCACATTTTCTTAATCCAGTCTATCATTGTTGGACATTTGGGTTGGTTCCAAGTCTTTGCTATTGTGAACAGTGCCGCAATAAACATACGTGTGCATGTGTCTTTATAGCAGCATGATTTATAATCCTTTGGGTATATACCCAGTAATGGGATGGCTGGGTCAAATGGTATTTCTAGTTCTAGATCCCTGAGGAATTGCCACACTGACTTCCACAGTGGTTGAACTAGTTTACAGTCCCACCAACAGTGTAAAAGTGTTCCTCTTTCTCCACATCTTCTCCAGCACCCATTGTTTCCTGACTTTTTAATGATTGCCATTCTAACTGGTGTGAGATGGTATCTCATTGTGGTTTTGATTTGCATTTCTCTGATGGCCAGTGATGATGAGCATTTTTTCATGTGTCTTTTGGCTGCATAAATGTCTTCTTTTGAGAAGTGTCTGTTCATATCCTTTGCCCACTTTTTGATGGGGTTGTTTGTTTTTTTCCTGTAAATTTGTTTGAGTTCATTGTAGATTCTGGATATTAGCCCTTTGTCAGATGAGTAGATTGCAAAAATTTTCTCCCATTTTATAGGTTGCCTGTTCACTCTGATGGTAGTTTCTTTTGCTGTGCAGAAGCTCTTTAGTTTAATTAGATCCCATTTGTCAATTTTGGCTTTTGTTGCCATTGCTTTTGGTGTTTTAGACATGAAGTCCTTGCCCATGCCTATGTCCTGAATGGTATTGCCTAGTTTTCCTTCTAGGGCTTTTATGGTTTGAGGTCTAACATTTAAGTTTTTAATCCATCTTGAATTAATTTTTGTATAAGGTGTAAGGAAGGGATCCAGTTTCTGAATTAATTTTTGTATAAGGTATAAGGAAGGGATCCAGTTTCAGCTTTCTACATATGGCTAGCCAGTTTTCCCAGCACCATTTATTAAATAGGGAATCCTTTCCCCATTGCTTGTTTTTGTCAGGTTTGTCAAAGATCAGATAGTTGTGGATATGTGGCATTATTTCTGAGGGCTCTGTTCTGTCCCATTGGTCTATATCTCTGTTTTGGTACCAGTAGCATGCTGTTTTGGTTACTGTAGCCTTGTATTATAGTTTGAAGTCAGGTAGCATGATTCCTCCAGCTTTGTTCTTTTGGCTTAGGATTGACTTGGCAAGGCAGGCTCTTTTTTGATTCCATATGAACTTTAAAGTAGTTTTTTCCAATTCCGTGAAGAAAGTCATTGGTAGCTTAATGGGGATGGCATTGAATCTATAAATTACCTTGGGCCATATGGCCATTTTCACAATATTGATTCTTCCCATCCATGAGCATGGAATGTTCTTCCATTTGTTTGTATCCTCTTTTATTTCATTGAGCAGTGGTTTGTAGTTCTCCTTGAAGAGGTCCTTCACATCCCTTGTAAGTTGGATTCCTAGGTATTTTATTCTCTTGGAAGCAATTGTGAATGGAAGTTCACTCATGATTTGGCTCTCTGTTTGTCTGTTACTGGTGTACAAGAATGCTTGTGATTTTTGCATATTGATTTTGTATCCTGAGACTTTGCTGAAGTTGCCTATCAGCCTAAGGAGATTTTGGGCTGAGACGATGGGATTTTCTAGATATGCAATCATGTCATCTGCAAACAGGGACAATTTGACTTCCTCTTTTCCTAATTGAATATCCTTTATTGGTTCTCTAATCTGATTAGATTTAAAGGCACCAATAACTCAATGTTTAGTCGTAAAGAAAGCACTGACAGTCTATGGTGTTATGTGGTAATAGAAATATGCAAAATATCACCATTGGATGCTACTAATCCAATACTTATGAGTCAAGAATTTCCAAGAGCTGTATATCCCCTAAATCAGTGTGCAGTATATTGTACTGCTTCTCCCACAGGCAGGATTTACAGGTCCAGGATTCAGGCAGTGGAGTGGAAGTAGCAGTATTCACTGTTACCTACTGTGATTCCTTAATAAAATATTTGCTTCCTGTCCCTGCTACCTTACTCTCTAGTCTAAAATTCTTACTTTCAAAATGAGTTTCCCCAGAAGACAAAATGATTCCATTGAACTGGAGGTTAGGACTGCCACCTGACCACTACTGGCTCCTTATGGCTCTGAACCATCAGACAAAGAAGGGAGTTGCTGTGCTAACAGGGGTGATTGATCCTGACTACCAAAGGGAAACTGGTCCAGTTCTCCTCAACAAAGGTAAGGAAGAGAATGTTTAGAATACAGGATATTAATTACTGTTTTTCTTATTATTCCCATGCCCTTTGAAGAAAGTTAATGGAAAACTACAACAACCTAGTTCAAGCAATAATACTAATGGCCCATATCCTTCAAGAATGAAGATTTGGGTTACCTCTACAGGTAAGGAACCATGACTAAGTGGGGGGCTTCTTAAGGGTAAAGGAAATACAGAGTGGGGAGTGAAAGAAGGTCAGTATAAATGTCAGCTATGAGCACACGACAAATTACAGAACTAAGGGCTGTTATGAGTATTTCTTTTTTATTTTGTTTGAATATGCCTGCATGTCAAATTTGTTTATTTTCTGCCCCTTCTTACTCTCAACATATAACACAAAATGTATCGATTTTATATCATGGTATTTAAGTATTGGGAACTTAGAATTATAGTATATATGTTACAAGATATCAAGAAGAGTCGACATCCCCCGAGATCTCTGTGTCTTCTTCTGGGGAAAGGGTTAGTGTATTTTCAAATAAATATATCATATTATCATGTTAGATGGAAGTATGAACTTGTTGTTATCTTTTTTCTTTTTTGAAGATTAAGTATGGTTTAAAGATATGTGTATGGGTGCCAGATGGGGAAGGGTTGAATTTGTGCTACTTTAATTTATGAGTCAACTAGGCTAGGCTGTGGTACACAGATGTTTGGTCAAGCTCCAGGATGGATTTTGCTGTGAGGGTATTTTGGTAGATGTGATTTGCATTTAAATCACTAGACTTTGAGTAGAGAAAATCAACCTTTACAAGATGGGTGGGTTTCATCCAATCAGTTGAATGCCTTAATAAAAAAAAAAATGAGGAAATTCTCAAGGAAGAAGAAATATTTCTTCCAGATGGTCTTTATAGAGTCTAGACTGCAACATCAACTCTCCCCTTAGTCTCAGTGTGCCAGCTTGAAGTGTATCGTGTAATCATCTGTTTCAACTTATTAAAATAAATCTCTCTCTTCAGTCAACGCACACACACACATGCACACACACACAATTGATTTCCACCAAATGTCTAAGAAATAAAATTTTGTTTCTTTTTTCTCATAAATGGATTATGAGTGAGTGACATTTCCACTATTATTTTCTTAATCTAATGTGCCAATTGAGCAACTGAGTTATAGGATATAAGCTATCATATTTATTTTCACATATACATTTTTGTTATTCATGATCAATTTTACACAATCTATAAATAAAATTTAAAACTAAAGTAAAACAAATAAACTATGTAGAATTTCAGTCTATGCAGTGTGTTTTTACTTTAAACGATACAATTTACCTGGTTCCCTAATTTTTTTTCTAGAAAGTTTAAACTATGGAATAAACATGATAGTAATTAATTAGGTAGGAGAAAAAAAGAAGAGTGAAGTTTGAAGAGATGAAAGAAGAAAAAAAGAAAGAAAGAAAAGAAGAAGCTGCGTATAAGACGAGGAAGCAGAAAGGTCAAGTTATTAGTAGTTAAGTAGTAAAATAAAAAATACAAAATTAAAAACCATGCATACTCCATAACACTGTACCTGTTCTTAGGTTTTTAATTTCCTTACCCTGTACCTTTGGATTTGTGATACTCTGAGTCAATATTGCAGAATTATTTTGCAACTCTTCTATTGTCAGTGCTCATTTTCACAATACCTGGCATAAAGATAGATTTAAAACAGGCACTGGTCATTGCAATGCTGTCATAAGACGTTATCCAATGTTAAAGAGGTAACATTATAAAATCTGCAATACTTAAAATAATTCTGTTTGGATTACTTTCCCATTCCAACAAACTACACACACACACACACACACACACACACACACGCTCACACACACATACATACACCACTTCTTTTATGTAAACCCTAGTCTTCTTGAATTTGGTAGCTTAGAGTACCCTAAACTATTTAAGATTAGAGTGTATAGTCAGCTGAGCTTTGTGTCCTCTGCCATCAACATCACTATTCGTAAGAAAATTTTCCATTGTGTTATGATGCATGAGAAAAATCAGCTTCTCAATCTTCTTTCTCCCGTATGTTCCCAGAAGTGTCCTTCCCAAACTGATAGTTTCAAGAATGTCATAGAAAATATAGTGGGGAAAATGGTGAATAAGTACAATGATGCTCAAGCAAATGCATGTGACAGACTTGATGCTATTTTATACTTCATGGTCTATAAATGCAATATTTTTCTTGAAAATGATGGTGCTGGCTTATAAAGGGAAGAAGAAGAGGGAATAAGAGATTATATAGTGTAATGTTTATTGAGTACTTTATACCTTAGACAGGATGCTAACCACCTTATATATATCATTTTCTTTAATATTTGAATGAGGTCAAAACAATCATAATCTGAAATTTATAATTAAGAAGCTGAAAACTAGAGTAATAACTTATTCAATACCATATAAAAGATGTGGTATCTATTTTTGCTCATTAATTCAGATATTAGTCTTTCAAATATATATGTTAATACGAAAGCGAAATTCTTGGAAAAGTATCCTGGTAATATGCTGGTGTTCTATGTTTCTATATCTTTGAAGAAATTGATTGAAGCTCCTTTTACTATAGTAGGGAAATTTTGCTCAAATAATTGGTTTACTAGAATTTACTAAATATGAAAAAAATTGAGCTGAGATAATCTCATTTTACATTTCATCAAATAATTAATGATATTCATTAATCATTTATCAGAGAAAGAGACAAAAAGCATTGGCAAAGCATAGCTTCCTTAGTGACAGATATTATTTGAACTTCTTAAGGGTTCAGAAAATATTTATAATACCATGTTCGGGGAGCGTCCAGATAGAATTGCTCTCCCTATCACTGGAAAGATGGTCACATCCAAACCCAAACACACATTCTGCCAGTTTCAAATCTCAATAAAAAGAGACCATCTTTCTGAGAAGTACAGCAGTAAAGTTATACAGAAGACTCTGCTGGCTTAGCTTGGGTCATATGCCCTTTTCTGAGCCAATTATTTTTAGCTAGGAAGATAAAGTAAATGGAATAGCCTGTTGTTCCGGCCTATATATTTATTGCTGTCATAAGGCACCATGTTTATAATAACACAATTTCAAATCTCCCCAAATGAGTTTTCAAAATGAAAAGGAGTTCTATTATGAGAAGAAAGAAAGACAGCTACTGGATAGACAAAAAAACCAACAGATATCTGTAACCCTAGATTCCATGCATGAGGCAGACTCATTCACCAACATAGGCTTTCCTATTTTAGGGCTCACTTTCGCTCAGATTTAGTCCTCTACTCCATCATCTTCTTCCTCATCTGATTGGGTATCTACATCTGTGGTGCATAGAGCTATAAGTTTATGATGTTCTTCCTTGGCAGATAAATTGATTTTGGCTTGTTGTGTATGGTGGGCAGAGGGTAACTGTGGTGATGGCAAAATGCCAAAGAGTGTTACTTATTATTTGTATAGTGTATTACAACTTACAAAGCAAGACAAGTCACCAAATCTAATCAGATGATACGTTGGACACAAAGCATTCATTTATTTGGAAACAATAAGAGATATCATAATGAGTTATTTTACTTATAATTACAAGCAAACTTTTTAAATATAGTTTTTCGCTTAGACACTAAATGTCATAATATGCCAGTTTCTATTACCTGTTCCAATATTTCTTCCTCCTCCTTCCAAGCAGGATATGTGGAAAGGTCAAAGATATCAGATTATCAGCATTACTCCAGACCAATTTAATTCCTTTCTCAGCCAAGTGAAGTTAGGAGTTGATGTTTAAATCCTACTTCCATTTACAATTCTTCAACCATAAGAGCCAAACAGAATTACATCAAGTAAACAATAGGTTTAGCTATAGTAGCTTTTGGAATGCTTAATTTGTTAATAATAATATTTACATTGGAAAAATAAAACCGAAATAGTCTCTCTGTATATTAAAACTTATTTCGAGTGACTGTTGCATACTGGAAATAGAGGAGATAAAAAATGTATTTGCTTAATGAATCACAGAATGCTAATTTAGATAATTAAAAACTAATATCTTTCTACTTTTCCTAATGTATGCCAAACTAAATCTTTTACAACTAAATTATTTCAACTTGAAAGCATTTATTATATAAGGAAAATAGTTCTAAAATATTTTATTTATTTTTCCTTTCCAATATTATACTAATTATTTTAAGTTCAAGTGTAAGAGAAATAATACATTTTAAGTATATACATTGTTTTGGTGAATATATTCCATAAAGGAATACAACTGGGCTTGATTATGGAGGACTGTCCAGGACAGATTACTGTCCAAACATCACTTCACAAAAAGCAGAGATACTCAGGAGGACAATAACTCCGACTGCTGTTTCGTTTCTATTTTTTTTTTTTTTTTTTTTTTTTTTTTTGAGACTGAGTCTTGCTCTGTCGCCCAGGCTGGAGTGCAGTAGCGCTGTCTCGGCTTACGGCAAGCTCCGCCTCCCGGGTTCACGCCATTCTCCCGCCTCAGCCTCCCAAGAGCTGGGACTACAGGCGCCGGCCACCACGCCCGGCTAATATTTTGTATTTTTAGTAGAGATGGGGTTTCACCATGTTAGCCAGGATGGTCTTGATCTCCTGACCTCGTGATCCGCCAGCCTCGGCCTCCCAAAGTGCTAGGATTACAGGCGTGAGCCACCGCGCCTGGCCCCGGCTGCTGTTTCTTGTGTGTTTTCTCCCTAGTTCCAGGAGCAAGAAAAAACTGACCTCTTATTTTAGTCCCAAGGCAATTTCAGAATGAGTTTCATCCAGGGTAACTCAGGATTTTTCTCAGATGGGGCTTGTAGAACATGACAGAAAGCTCCAATTAACCTAAGATCCTAAAGGCTACAAATTCAAGGAAAACAATTTTTTTCCCAATTTAAGCATAAATCTCGCTCAAAATGGGACTGAGTCAGTCTCCTAAGGCATTCATAATGCTTGTGCTTTCTCTGAGAAATACATAGATTTAAATTAAACGTACTTCAGAAATTGACAAGAAATCACTTGTGATGATTGGAGAAAAAATGAACACATCACCCACTACAGTATCTTTTAATTTCGATATTAAACATTGATATAGTGTGTTATAGTATTGATGATAACTTTATGTTATTTGGATAGATTATCAATGAACAAGTTACACTTCTAAGTAATCACCTGCTGGATTAGTGTTATGTGAAAACACCGCAATAACATTTTGTATTAAAATATGTCATCAAAGTTCAGTTTTTGTTAAGAATATGTTTACAAAATAAATTTCATCACTTTACATACATACACATTTTATATTAAATGTCTAGAAACTTCATCTTATGGGAAAGAAACTAATATCTTAGGTATTGCCACTTTAGATATCTCTGCCCAATTCACTTCTTGACTTCAGCATATTCCACAGTAGACAAGGTAGCTCTTGACCGAATCTGCTTCCATTTTATTTACCTCAATTTTTTATTATCATTTTCATTCTGCTTAAATATCTTTAGCATTTCTTCAGGGACTCCAAATTGAATACATCTGTCAAAATTCAAGATCCCCATTAATCTCTCAGTACTACTCCATAATTATTTTAAAGCATTCAAATGGTCACAGACAGATATAGGAGTAGAAAGTTCCTCCTTAGAAAGAGATTGACATACTGTTGGACAGAATAATAGTGACTTTAAAATGTAATTTAAAAAAATTGTGAGTGTGGGCTGCAATGCTTATGGGTATTTTTAATTTGTCTCATGAAGCTGCATATGTCCTATTTATATGGCTTATGAATGGTATAACTCCACTTGTTATTAAACAGACATAGGGGTTAGGATTATATTTATCCAAGAGACCCAGGAATTATACTCGAAAACTGGAATGGCACAACCAACCCTAAGTACTGAGGTTGCTTCCAATGGATGGGCAGATAGATTAGATAGATGGATGGATAGATAGATAATTTTTAAAATACTTAACAGAGCATTGTTGAACCAAGCTGTGCTTTGAATCCAAACGCAGAACTTCAATATAGAGCTATTGTTTTGACTGTATAGACCTTGACTGCATAGACTACCTGGCACAGATTTTTTTAACAAGTTTGGAGGTATTCTAACTTCCAAAGATGAACCAAGTAAATATCTGCTACTTTTTCCAAAAACGCTCCTAATATGAAAGCTCATTATTGCAATGGTATAAAATGCCAAGTCCTCTAGCCCCAAGCAAATGGAGATGAAAAGGTAATATGCAAATATAAGTGTTTCATAAAATTTTTATTATTAAGCTAACCTTGGCCTGACTTTTGGTATCTGTTTCTATTAAGATTTTTTTCTATAAAATATTTTACTAATAGGATCTTAATATAAACAGTTTTACTCTTTCTTAAATACAAGAAATTTGGAAAAGTTCAAAACCAGGATTGGATATTTTATTTTATTCTATCCTCAAATTCCAAAGGTCTTCCTCTTTATTCAACATTTTAGTCATATCTACCCCAATGATAGTTGCAGTGTGAAGCATTACATCCTCATAGAATAGGGCACCAAGCAGGGAAAAAAGTTGATGAGTCCAAAGAACAAACATCTTTTTGTGCTTTTTTTTTATTAGTGACAAAAAAAGTTCCTATATCCTATACTTTGCTTAGCCCAGCAGACTGTTTTATACATTTCATTGATCAGATGTGGGTCATATACTTGTCACATACTGGAACAGAAGAAGAAGGTTCCTTCCCCTGGCTGGATTGGATAAATTATCATTCTACTTTTGGGACTGGGCACTGTTATTACTGTTCCATCCCTCCCCCTTTAAACATCAATCATGAATTTGCTAATAGGAATAAAAAGACTCACACACAAAGTCTATCAAAAGAATATTGTCATGGAGATGCTGATTTTTAAAAAAAAGGTATTGAGCAGATACAAACAGATGGAGCTTATGGTCTTCTGACTCCCCCAGCCATATAGAAGCAAAGGAGAGCACAAAAATGAAATGTATAATAACTAAGGAAACTATAAATTTTGAAACAGACACATGTAGACAGAGTGGTCTATACACTATTTTTACACTAGGTTCTAACTCATTCTTAGTTCTGTATCGAAAAGAAAGGAAACCCTTGGAATTTTCTTAGGATTTGACAAATGGTACCATACAAAGGTGAAGCAAAAATATCTTTTACATCACTTCTACTGTAGTTAATAATGGAACACAGGACAGGAAGGTACTATAGAGTAAAAAACTTTTAAAAAATTAGAAATAGTTTGCCCTTCAGTAGCCAAAATCTTTTCCAGCATTGTAGTGCAGAAAAATAAATGCCTCAAAGATATTAATATGCAGCTGTAGCACATACATATCCACTGAAATAGGAAATAATTTAGCTTCATTAAACAACTGCCTGTAAAAAGAGATGAAAATTGAACTAAAACAATATTCTTTAGAAATGATTTATTTTCACAAAATGCTAAAAGTCATATCTACCCCAGCTACAAGTATTCTTTGGGATAGTAGGAAGAAAGTTGTTTGGAGTTCAAAGGAAGTAAAATTGTCACGCAAACTCAAAATGCGTTTGAATGGAAGATACATATTTACACACAAACCCATATGCATGCATACATACACACACATAGGGGACACCATCCTGGCTCTTTCCTCTTTCCTGTTCCTTGCCCACAACGGATTTTGTGACCTCTTGGAAATCAGAAATATATGTTTCTCTTAATGTTGGCATCATAATATTTTATTCTTTAGCCAAAATAGTTGATGTACTTACTGAATTGAGAATTGAGGAGAATTCACTAATTTGTTTGGTTGCTAATATTCACCCACTGAATGAACCAACGTCAGGAAAGCTAGAGAAATCTCAGCTTTCTCCAGAGTTAAGAGCATAGCCCCAGATGCCAATTAAAGAGAATCTATCTCTGCCTAGCAGAGATAATACTGTAGACTGATAATGAATTATATTTAAGGTATGAGGGGCTTGGAAACCATCAATGTGCAGGAAGTTGTATAATTCAAGCTTTAGAAAAATGACCATGGATTAACATGCATGTCTATGGCTTCAGCAACATCAGTAACATCAGATTGCATTATCTGAACCCTAATGGGAGGAACCACTCTTGCAGCTGAGAGAAGGGGTTGATATTTCTGATCAAGTAAATAGTTGTTTATTTATTTCAGTTATTTTAGGCATGCAATGAGGTTGCCATGAATTAGAGTGGATAAAATACCAGTTCTCTCTGTGAAACAGTGATTCAGTAGACATAGAACTCAAAGGCATGAGAATTCTAAGATATGAGAAACCTGGAATCATTTCAGTAGTTATAACCCAATAACCAGCTTTGAGAGCAACATTACTATCAGAAAATGAATAGATGGTCCCCATTTTGGATTGTTGGCAGCTCTGAGCAAGACAGTAGGTATTGCAACTGTTTCAGTCAGATTCATTAGCCAGGTCAGCAGAAAAATAACAGAGCATGGATATTGGGCAGGATCCTGAGGAACCTCAGCATATGCACACCTGGGGCACTGAGCTGAAGAATCTATGAAATGCTTGGTGAGCAATGTAAGGAGTTAATAACTTCTGAAAAGTAGGACAGTGGGTGTTCATATAGAAATAATCTGTCCCTGTATTTTGTAGTAATAAGCAATTTAGGTCAAAGATATATAAACTAAATTGCAACCTCTCATATATGATGACTTTTAGCCCCCTTATCTATTTAATTTTTCCCCCTCAAAATTAATTGATACAAAATATGATACACATTTTATTAATTGATGTAATTTTTTGTCTACCTCCCCTATTAGCATATAAATTGCTTGAAGGCTAGGACTTTTCTTTGATTTATTCATTTCTCTGTTTTATTCTTCTATAACAGACTAAGTAATCAACAGCATTAAGCTAGAAATTAATAGAACTATACCCGTAGAATTTCCAAATATTGGAAAATTTAAAAAAAAACTTCTAAATAACTCATGTACAAGAAGAAATCATAAGAGAAATTACAAAATATTTCAAGTTGAATAATGATGAAAACACAGCACATTAAAATCTGTAACATGTAGCCAAAGTAGTCTTAGAGGAAAAGATGTGGATATGGATTGAATTTGTTATATTATAAATACATAAAGTTTTAAAATCATTGACTTAGGATTACATCCTAAGAAGTAAGTAAGGCTTCTGAAAGGGTAACATCAGCAAAATGGCATAATAGACTTTCCAGCATTTTTCCCCTGGCAGAAACATCAACTTGAACAACTATCCACACATGAAAATGCCTTCATAATATCTCAGAAATTCAGGTAATGGATTACAGTATGTGAGTATAGCACAGAAAAAAGGAAAAGACAGATTAAGGAAAGTATGAGGGAAAATTTCACATTACCCTTGTCACTCCCTCTGCAAAGTCAGAGCACCACAGCACAGAGATATTCTCCATCTGGAGGAAAGACAGTGAAGTGAGCACCTCTTTTTTGCCACAGACCCCTGGACCAGACATGCCTTAGTGAAACCCAGTGCAAGGTTATTCCTCGACAGCCCCAGTTTTCAGGCCCACCATAGAATTAGCCTGGCCCTAGGCCACAGGTTCAGTCTCTGCAGATTCGGGTCAAGGCCCACCATGGCTCCAGTTCAGCCCTAGCACCTGCCTGGCATCTGAAGCTCCAAATTCAAGGCCAGTACCAGTGGACCTTGCCTCCTGGCCATCCCAAGCACTAGGCTGTCACACAGAGACTGAGCTCCAAGGAAGCTGCTGCAGCTCCAGTCTCCAGGCAAGTACCCATGGTCCCAGGTTTTGAGATCCACCCCAGATGCAGGCTAGTTCCTTAAGCCCTAGGCTAATGACCAAAATTTGAGGCTCCACACTGGCTCCCACAGTCACAGACTTCAGGTCAGCACAAGAAGACCCATATTCCAGATCCACCCCATCACCAGGCCAGCTCTCACAGCTCCAGACTCCAGTACAGGACCCATAGACCGCATATTTAGGCTGCTATCCATGAATCCAGGTTCCAGGCAGGTAGCTCCAGCCCCTGACTCCAGGACAAGCCTGCAGATTCAAGATCCATACTACTACCTGTGGTCATAGGCTTCAGGCTTGCTCCAGTGCCAGCCAATCCCCCTTCAACCCCAGACTATTGTATGGTATTCACAGACTTCAGCTCCAGTCTGGCTGCCAATGACCTAAATAACCACTCAGCATATGTGTACCAAACATCAGGGCTGGGCCCCACAGATACAGGCACCAGACCAGCCTAGTACCAGATTGGCCCCTGTGAGTCTACGATCTAGCAGACACAGGGTCTAGGCCCTCTCTAGCAGACCCGGTGTCAAGGCCTGCCCCCGCTGACACCAGACCAATCTCCATGGACCTAGGTTCCAGGATCACCGCTACATATTAGGCTGGCTTGTCCTTGCAGTTGGGACCCAGGTTCACCCCAGCAGAACCAGCCTTCAGGTCTACTCAAAAACAGGCCAGCCTTGGTTTCCCCAGGCTCCAGGCCAGCCCCCTAGAGACCTAGCCTGCAGACCAGTACCTACAGATACATCCTCAGGTCAGCCCTTGTGGACCCATACCTCAGGCTTGCCCCCACAGCTCCAGGTAACAGGTCAGCTCCCCACTCCCAAATTCTAGACAAGCGCCCACAGACCCAGGCTCCAGGCTAACCCCAACATCAGGCCTTCTCTGGGCTCCAGGTTATTTCCCATAGCTCTAGTCCCAGAGGACCCAGGGTTCCAGGCCCACTCTAGCAAACTCAAGGTCTGGGGCCCCTAGTAGTCCCCATAACTAGGCTGCTTCCCACAGACCCAGGCTCCATGCCAGCTACTGTGAACTCAGGACCCAAGCTTCAGGACCTCCACAGGGGACCCAGTTTCCAGGCCCAACCTCACATTTCCAAGCCCCAGGCTGGCCTCTATGAACTCAGGCTACAGGCCTGCCCAACTGCTTACCAAGGCATCAAGCCAGTCTGCCTGAGAACTCTAGTGGCAAGTCTGCCTATGAACCTCACCAGATAATCTACCCAGAATGTGTGGACAGGTTGACTTTTGGAAGGTTTTACCTGACACATCCAGTCTGTAGAGGCTAGAGTGAATGTCTGTTTCTTCTAATGTGCAGACATGAATGCATGGGCACAAGGATTACAAATAATCAGGAAAACATGAAACCACCAAAGAACAAAAGAAGGCACAAGTGAGCAACCCTAAAGGAATGGAGATTTACAAATTGCCTGATAAAGAATTCAAAATAATCATCTTAAAGAAGCCCTGTGAGCAACAAGAGATGACTAATAGATAACTAAATGAAATCAAGAAAACAATATATTAGCAAAACGAGAAGGTAAAGAAAAAGGAACTATAAAATAAAACCAAACAAAAAATTTTAAGCTAAAGAACAGGATGACTGAACTGAAAACTTCCATAGAGAGCTTCAAAAGCTGATTTGACTAAATATAAAGAGATTTTCACTGAGACTCTGAAATAGTTTGGATGAGTGTATCTCCAAATCTGATGTTGAAATGTTATCCACAATGTTAGTAGGGCCTGGTTGGAGGTGTTTGGGTCACGAGGGCAGATCCCTCATGAATGGCATGGTGCTCTCCTCATGATAGTGAGTGAGTCATCATGCAATCTGGTTGTTTCAAAGTGTGTGGCATCTATCTTTTTCTTCATACCACTCTGCCATGTGATGGGCTGGCTCCCCCTTTGCCTTCAACCATGACTGAAAACTTTCTGAGGTCTCTCTAGAAGCCAAGTGGATATTGGCACAATGTTTCCTGTACAGCCTGCAGAACTGTGAGCCAATTAAACCTCTTTTCTTTATAAATTGCCCAATCTCAACTATTTCTTTATGGAAATGCAATAATGGGCTAATACAGACACATTATAATAAAAATTACATAATTCAAGGACAAAGAGGATTTTGAAAGCAGCAAGAGAAAAGCAAAACATTACACACAAGAAACTATTCATAGAATATCAGTGGACTTTTCATCAGAAACCTGCAGGGCAGGGAAGAGTGGAATAATATATTCAAAGTACTGAAAAAGAAACCTGTCAAGTAAGAATATAACTGTCAGGAGTATATTGCAGAAATGAAGGAGAGATAAGGACTTTTCCAGACAAACAAAAGCTGTGGGAGTTTATCACCACTACATCTGTCTTAGAATAAACTCTAAAGGGAGTTATTGATGTTGAAATAAGAGGTCACTAAAAAGCAAAATGAAAACATATGAAAGTATGAAACTGTAAAGGTAAGAATACAGATAGTGCATGACTTAGGATATGGTTACATCTATATAAACTCATTGTAAGTAGAAAAGCACTTGTAATATTCTAATATTGTAAGGGTGGTGCATTAATCACTTTCAACTCTAGCATGAAAGTTAAAAGACAAAATACTTTAGTATAAAAGTTAAAGGGCAAAGATAAAAATAATTATAACTATAGTAACAATAGATACATGATTTAAAAATATGTAAAATATGATATCAATATTTTTAAATCTGGGGCAAAAATAAGTTAAAGTGTGGAGTTTCTGCATATAGTGAAAGTTAAATGTAAGCAGCTTAAAATAGATTGTTATAACTGTAAAATATTTTATAAACGCCTCATGGCAACCACAAATAAAAAAATACTGTAGTAGATATGCAAAAGATAAAAAGAAATTTTGATTCCCTTCTTTTGCATTGTCACAAAAAATTATAAAATGAAAAAGGAAGAATGAAACAAAGTGATTACATTAACAGTCAGAAAAGAATTAACAAAATGGCAGTAGTGAGTCCTTACCTACCAATAGTTGCTTTATATGTGAATAAATTAAATTATCCAATCAATTAAAAGATGTAGAGTGAATTAACAGATAAAAAACAAGATCCACCTATATAATATTTAGAAGACACTGACTTTTTAGCTTTAAGGACACAGGCTGTCAGTGAAGGGATGGCAAAAGTTATTCCATTAAAATGGTAAAAAAAAAAAATAGAGTTGGGGTGGCTATACTTAAACAAAATATACTACAAGTAAGAAGCTGTCAACAGACACAAAGAAAGCCATTAAATAATGATAAATAAGTCAATATATCAAGAGGAAAAAGGTGTGTTGTTTGGCATGGTGGCACATGCCTGTAGTCCCAGCTACTGGGAAGGCTGAGGCAGGAGGATGGCTTGAACCCAGAGGTTCAAGTCCAACCCTGGAAACAGAGTAAAACCTCATTTCTAAAACTAACCAAATGAAACTTGTATAAAAAAAAGCAATGTAAATATGTATTTGTTCAACATCAAAATATATGGATATATAAAGCAAATATTATAATGCAATAAGAGTAGGCGATTTCAGCTCCACACTTTTAACAATGAATAGATCAGACAGAAAATCAATAGAAAACAGACTTGAACAACTGTATAAAACAAAAGGACCTAAAAGACATATATGTAACATTTCATCCAACAGCAGCAGAATACACATTCTTTTTAAGCATACACAGGACATTCTCCAGCAGAGATTATATGTTAGGCCACAAAACTAGTCTTAACAATTTTTTTAAAGTTTTAAATTATATCAAGTTTTTTTTGTGATCCCAATAGTATGAAACCGTGTCAATAAGAGAAGAAAACTTGGAAAATTTAGAAATATGTGGAAATCAAACAAAAACTTCTAAATACCTAATGGCTCAAGAAAAATTCTAAAGGGAAAACAAGATATATCTTCTTGAGATGAATGAAAATGAAAACACAACATACCAAAACATACAGGATGCAGCAAACACAGACGAAATTTCACATTTATAAATACCTAGATTAAGAAAACGGTGTCTCAAATAAACAACTCAACACCTCAATCAAGTAGCAAAAGAACAAACCAAGCCAAAATGCAGCAGAATAAAGCAAAAAACACAAACCAGAGGAGGAATACGTGAAAGAAAAACTACAAAACAATAAAAAGATCATTTAGAAAAAGCTGGTTTTTTGAAAAGATAAAACTGACATACTTTTAACTGAACTACCAAAGGGAAAAAATAGAAAAAGCTAAAATAAAATTATCAATGAAACAGAGACATTAAGCTTCTGATACCACAGAAATTCAACCATCAGAAGAGAATAATATGGAAAATTACATGCCAAAAGTTGGATAGAGAGCTTAGAAGAAATGGGTAAATTTATAGGAGCATCCAACCAATTAAGACTAAATCATAAAGAAATAGGAAGCCTGAACAGATCATAATGAATAAAGAGATTGAATCAGTAATCAAAAACCTTCCAAAATATAAAGCCCAAAACATGATGGCTTCATTGGTGAATTCTACCAGTCATTTAAAGAAAAACGAATAATAATACTTCTCAAATTTATCCATAAAATCTGAAGGGAGAGAACACTTTCAAATTCTTATGAGACCAGCATTATTCTGACCAAAGCAAGAGAAGGAGCCTACAAGAAAAGAAAATTATAGGCCCATATCCCCAGTAAACACAGGTGTAAACATTCTCAACAAAGTATTGACAAACCAAATTGAACATCATATTGAAAAGATCGTACACTGTAATCAAGTGGCATATACTTCTGATATGTAAGGATGGTTCAACATATGCAAATCAATGTGATATACCATATTAACTGAAAAAGGATAAAAATCAAAAGATTATCTCAATAGAGGCAGAAAAAGCATTTAAAAAATACTTCAATTCATAATCAAAAAACAACTCTCACAAATTACAGAAATAATGTATCTCAACATAATAAAGGCTATATAGGACAAGCACACAAGCTAACATTGTCCTCAACAGGAACATGACAAGTATGCCACTCTTGTTACTTCTACTCAATATAGCACTGGAAGTCCTAGCCAGAGCAATTAAGCAGGACAAATAAAAGGTATCTAAATTGGAAAGAAGAAGTAAAATTGTTTGCAGATGACATGATCTTTTAAATTGAAAATGCTAAATAATTGAACAAATAACTGTTAGAACTAATATATAAATTCAGGGAGATTCATAGAATACAAAATCAAGATACAAAAATTAGGAACATTTCTATACACTAACAAAAACCTCTGTAAAAAAGAAGTTAATAAAATTATCTCATTTA
The DNA here is from genome assembly GCF_000001405.40 of Homo sapiens. Classification (NCBI taxonomy): domain Eukaryota; kingdom Metazoa; phylum Chordata; class Mammalia; order Primates; family Hominidae; genus Homo; species Homo sapiens. Next base: position 235,343 of record NW_009646200.1, read on the forward strand.
GAATAGCCTTAAAAATTAAAATACTTAGGAATTAATTTACATAAGGAGGTAAGAAATCTGTACACTGAAATTTATAAAACTGATAAAGGAAATTGAAGACAAAATAAGTGAATATATATCCCATGTTCATGGTTTGGAAAATTAATATTATTAAAGTATCCGTGATACCCAAAGCAATTTACAGATTCAGTGCAATCCCTATAAAAATTCCAATGACTTTTTTTATAGAAATAGTAAAAACAATCCTAAAATTTTCAAGGAACCACAAAAGACTCTGAATAGCCAAAGAAATCCTGAGCAAAATAGAACAAAGCTGAAGGCATCACATTACTTGATTTCAAAATATACTACAAAACTATAGTAATCAAAAGACCATGACAATGGCATAAAAGAAGACACATAAACCAATGGAAAATAATACAGAACAGGGACATAAATCTGTAAATTTACAGTCAATTGATCTTCAACAAATGTGCCAACACAAAATGTGGAAAGAACAGTCTTTGAGTAAATAATGTTGGAAAAACTTATCCACTTGCAAAATAATGAAATGAGAACTTTATCGCACCTCATATACAAATATGAACTAAAATGGATTAAACACTTAAATATAAGACATGTAACTGTAAACTACTAAAAGAAAACATAGGGAAAATGTTTCTTGACATGGGTCTGGGAAAGAAACAAATTGGATATTATAAGCACAGACAGCAGCAATAAAAATAGATAAGCTTCATTTGCTACAAGCTTAAGGTTACAACAAGCTAAAAAGCTTCTGCACAAAAAAGAAGACATAGTGAAGAGAAAACCTATAGAATGAGATAAAATATTTCAAATCATACACCCCATAAAAGGTTAATATCCAAAACCTATAAATAATTCAAATAATTCAAAAAATGAGCAAATGGTTAGTGTAAACATTTTTTAATAGAAGCTATACAAATGGCCAACAATTATCCACAAATTGCTCAACATCACTAACCATCAGGTAGAAGCAAATTAAAACCACAATGAGATATTCTTTGATATCTTTTAGAATAGCTATATCAAAAAGACAAAATACCACAAAAGATGATAAGTATATGAAGTAATACATACATTAATTAGCTTTATTTAGTCATTTTGCAATGTATACATATTTTAAAACAATGTTTTAAATGTTATATATGGATATTTTGTTCAATTAAAACTAAAACATTTATAAATACAAAAAGAAGACAAAACACAGCAAGTGTTGGTGAGAATGTGGCATAAAGGGAGCCCTCGTGCAGTATTGGCGGGAATGTATATTAGTACATTTCCATTTTGGAAAAGAGATGGTGGTTCTTAAAAAATAAAAAATAGAACTACCATATGATGCAACAATCCCACTTCTGGTATGTGTCCAAAGAAACGGAAGTTAGTATGTCAACGAAGTATCTCCACTTCCATATTAATCATAGCATTTTTTCCAATAGCCAAGATATAGAATCAACCTGAGGGTCCATCAACAGATGCATGGATAAAGTGTGTATGTGTGTGTGTGTGTGTGTGTGTGTGTGTGTGTATAAAATGCATATATACAATGACATATTATTCAGCCTGAAGAAAAGGAAATTCTGTCATTTGCAACAACATGCATGATCCTGGAATATATGTTGCTAAGAGAACTAAGCCAGGCACACAAAGACAAATAATCCATGATGTCACTTATATGTGCAATCTAAAAAAGTGAACTCAACATAGAAATAGAAAGTGGAATGATGTTTACCAGTAGGTAGGAAAGGAGATGGAAAGAGGGTGATATTGGTCAAAATGTACAAAGTCTCAGTTAAGATGAATAAGTTCTGGGAATCTATTGAACAGCATGGTGCCTACAGTTAACAATAATATATTGTACGCTTGAAAATTGCAAAGAGAGTAGATACTAAAATGTCTTACTATGAAAAAATAAGTATGTGAGGTGATAGATATGTAAATTAGCTTGATTCATTCATTTTACATTGTATATATTTGTCAAAACATCACATTTTACAAATAAATAGATACAATTTTATTTTTCTTTTTCTGTATACTTTAATAAACCTGAGAATTAAACTAAAAGCCAGCAAAATTGTGAATTTTACCCAAAATAAATAGAAGAAATAATAAATGATAGGAAATAATAGAATATGGACAAACAATAAAAAATTAGTAAAGCCAATATTTGAAATTTTTATTTTGATAAAACCTTAGGCTAATCAAGAGAGAATGAGAAAAATAATGAGAGAGATAGAGCAATAGAAAGGAATACTGATATGCTAAACAACCTGGATGAATGTTAACATATTGCGCAAAACAAGCTAGATACGAGAAAATTGTGTAAGGTATGATTCTATTTGGATAAAATTTTATAACAAACAAAAGGATCTATGGTTATAGAACTAGAAGAGTAGTTGCCTCTCAGGATAGGGATGTGCGTAAAAGGGGCATGAGATTACTTACTAGAGTGTTGGAATGTTCAGTACACATTTAATTCATGTGTGGGTTTACATGGGTGGTATTTTCCAAAACTTATCCAGCTGTATCTTCATTACATGTATCTTTGATATTATTAAATTATATATAATTTAAAAACAAAATATATATGACCAATGAAATCACTGAATTGATGTAGCTCCAGATGCTCATCGATACGGCTTCTAGAGTCTCCCATTCATGCCACTGGATGTACAAGTTGCAGTCATGTATAAATGATGCTTTCCACGGAACTGAGCCTTCCTGAGGATTATCTACAAACTTCTACAGAGCAGCTAGAACCTGCTTATGAAAGTTCACCTCTTTGATATTGACAAATTCCCAAACCACGCTCAAGCTTAATACATCCCTTTGGACACAGTGGCTGATCTTTACAGCTGTCCATGAGAACCATTGAACAACCCAGTCAGTTTTTGTAACATTCATCTTAACTGGTGCTAATTTTACCCCCTCTCTATAGTCTAATATTTAAATTGTTAAAACATCTTTCATTTCTAAATCCATAAGCACTCATTTAATAGCACTATTGTGTGATTAAGATATTTTCTAAAAATTCAGTTCAGTTACAATTCATACTGGAAGAGAACCACTAGGGTATTAATCATATCATGATTACCTCAGATCTCAAGGGACCAGGCAACCACTCAAAATTTTACAGCTGAAATAACACTTGTTAAATTAACACGTCAACCAACTTCCTATGAGTCTGGCCAAGTGATAAATTGTGTTGGCCCAGTGATATTTTACACACTTTAAAGTGATAATAGTTTCTTATGAAGACAGTACAAAAAACAATTCTCTAGACTGAAAACAGAGGTGACAACCCAGAAAAAATATATTATTTGTTCATCAGTTATAGATCTTTGTCATGATTCATAAATCACCATTGTAATTAATAAAAGTATTTTTCAGTAGCATTTTGAACATTTCAGATCCAATTCTCCATTATCTTATTTGGCCCTTATAACAATCCTAAAATGTAAGCTCTCAGATATCACCAATATTTTTCTGTTAAGTAAATAAAGGCAAAGAACCTTGAACTTATTGTATGACATTACATATTAGGCCAGAGACATCCAGGGGAAGGTCCTGAGCTTTCAGATTACTAACTAAACAGTTTTGTCTTCAGACCAGAGAGTACAAACCAGACACCCTTAAGCTCCATCTTGCCTGCAGACTGTTTTCTGGCTCAAACAGTATAGTTTACACTTTTAAATTCCGTTATATAATGAACATATTTAGAGATTTAACCTAAAAATCTTAATTGTAACCCCTCTGAAATTATTAAATTATTTGGGAATATTCACCTTTTCACATATCAGTAATGAGTTAAAGGGAATAGTAACTGCTAATTTAAATTATTTAATACTTTCCAATTTGCCACTGACCCTTTTAGCCAGCCCATGCTCCTTCCCTCAGATAGAGTTGGATCTACCTGGATCCTACAGGTATGTCTGTTCCTGGATCCTAAGTTAGACTATATGACCCTTTGGAGAGCTAACCTCACACTTAAGCTTTGTCTCTTTCCTTGATAATACTGTATCTTTAGAATTCTCCTGTAGACTGTTATGATTTCTATTCTTGCTGGTCATTAGAGAAATGCAAATCAAAACCACAATGAGATACCATCTCATGCCAGTGAGAACAGCAATCATTAAAAAGTCAGGAAACAACAGATGTTGGGGAGGATGTGGAGAAATAGGAATGCATCTGTTGGTGGAAGTGTAAATTAGTTCAACCATTGTAGAAGACAGTGTGGCGATTCCTCAAGGATCTAGAACTAGAAATATCACTTGACCCAGCAATCCCATTACTGGGTATATATCCAAAGGATTATAAATAATTCTACTGCAAAGACACATGCACACATATGTTTATTGCAGCACTATTCACAATAGCAAAGACTTGGAACCAACCCAAATGTACCTCAATGACAGACTGGATAAAGAAAATGTGGCACATATACACCACGGAATACTATGCAGCCATAAAAAAGGATGAGTTCATGTCCTTTGCGGGGACATAGATGAAGCTGGAAACCATCATTCTCAGTAAACTAACACGAGAACAGAAAACCAAACAGCACATGTTCTCACAAATGTTGAACAATGAGTTGAACAATAAGAACACATGGACACAGGGAGGGGAACATCATACACTGGGCCCTGTCAGGGGATGGGGGGATAGGGGAGGGAGAGCATTAAGAGAAATACCTAATGTAGGTGATGGGTTGATAGGTGCAGCAAACCACCATGGCACGTGTATACTTACATAACAGACCTGCACGCTCTGCACATGTACCCCAGAACTTAAAGTATATACACATATACTTTATATATATATATACACACACATATATACACATATATATATACACACATATATATACACATATATATATACATATATATACACATATATATACTTATATACATATATAAGTATATATACACATATATACATATATATACACATATATATACTTATATATATACATATATATGTATATATACACATTATATATATACATATGTAAAAGAATTCTCCTGATTTTCAGGAAATAGCCTGGGAGAAATCACCTTCAAAAGCCATTGGCTCTGCCTCTCCTATTCATTAGGAGTATTGTTCAGGACCACCTTTTTTCATATAGCTTATTGCAACGTAAAATGACTACATCTCTTTGGAAGTCCAAAATAGTTAATTTACTTTAGAATTTACTCATGTTTACTAGACAGATAGATATATGATAGATAGATAGATAGATATGATATAAATATGCATACTCACATTTTATACTTTTAATGTATTTAATTAATGATTTACTTTTTAAATTACTAGAATAAAAAACCTTTGAACTAGACATTTACATCCATAATAGAATTTTATTTGAGGAATGTAATTTGCACAATGCAAAAATAAAGTCCCTGAGCCCCCAGGAATCTGGCCATGAAGAAGTACCTGTATTCTGTTTTCTTATTCTTTTCTGTAGTCAATCCTGGTGTTCATGAGAGAAACCTGAGAAGGGTGGGTCAGTGCTAAAGATGAGCAGATTCTTTTTGGTTTTTAAAAGTAATACAGCTTCACTCCTGGATGACAGACTGGTGGGGAATCTGCTAGGAATTTTCACTGAGAAAATCCCTGTGTCAGGACCAGAACATGGCTTTGGACAGTGAATCTAACCTTGCGTTAAGACCGAAATAATCAGACAATTGGGAGAAGGCCCATGTTCCTTACACTGTAAGATGATAGATAGATAGATAGATAGATAGATAGATAGATAGATAGATAGATAGATAGATAGATGTAGTTAGAATTTAGAATAGACATGACAAAGAGATTGTAAACTAGATGTCTCAGGAAAAAAATAAACAACAAAATGACTTATCTTTCTTCTCTCTTTGGTCTTTCTTGCTCCCCTCACTTCTCCTATCTCTTATGTTCTGTTCCTAATCTTGATAAAGCAAATTTTTTAAGTAATTTTTTTTCCTACTAAGTTTTACATCTGTGTCTGTTGAGTTAGTAAGTAGGTCACTTCCACCAATTCTGTTTCTGTTTCAATTGAAAGCACAGTCTCACTTTCAGTCTTAGAAGATAATAAAGCCCAGATTTCAGAAAGCACATTACTGTACTGCTAAGATTTTAAAGGCCAAATATACCACCCTTTCCTGTAGCATCTTCTTTCTCCAGGACTCTAACCTACTCACTTTTTTGCCTTCCAAAGTATAGCACAGATTGAACACCTGTGCCTTGAACTACCTCCTTTTCCTTTAGTTTATCAACTTTTTCTGCCCAGGGTCTCTTTCTTTCCTTTTCAGCATGTATCCCAAGGTCAGTAGCATTGATTCCACTCCCACAAGCAATGATGTCTAGTGCTTCAGACATCGACCTTCAAGCCCCTCCCTCCCATCTTAATTCATCTGTAGCTCTTCTTCCCTCCAAGACTATGGAGCACAATGGGAGAGATCTCTGGATTCCAGTTTTAGCTGGATAGTCTGTGCCACTCTGCAGACCTTTCTTTTGTTTGTTTTACATCATTTCCTTCTTATTTCCCTAAGCAGCTACTGCAAACCTGTATCCCTTTCCTCAAGCCCACACTCTATACCTGCACTCTTTTGTTCCCTGAACAACAGAGGGCATCATCTGTTTCCAGAGCAAAATAGAGAATCTGGATAATTCCCGTCAACTCCAATACTTCATAATTAGATCCTTCTGTTTTCTCCCTGCTTTTATTTATGTTAAATGTGTGTGTGTGTGTTGTGTGTGTGTGCATGCACACATGTAATACCTATTTTCTGGAATTTATCAGAATATTCGAAAATATATGCAAAGGATCTGTTTCTCATTATAAGTTATGATAATTTTTAGAGCTAACTTCAGAATTATCTTTATTTGGGCTCAAGGCTATACAAGCAATGAACACTAAAATTTTGTGTACTGTTTGATTTTTTGTAAAACATACATGCTTCCTCACTCTTTCAGAGAAAATACTAAGGTACTGTGGCCTTTCATAATCTAATCCAATTTTTTTATTATGTACTTTGTACTACATATTTTATTATACAGACTTGGATTCAAAGATATTTAAGAGATACAAAGAAGGACTTCATCCAGTCTGTGGACCACCTGAATCTGTGGGTATGTTACTTCTCTCTCTCTCTCTCAACAGGGTCTCACTCTGTTGCCTAACCTGTAGTGCAGTGGCACAATCATGGCTCATTTTAGCCTAGAGCTCTCGAGCTTAAGCAATTCCCCTGACCTCAGCCTCCCAAGTAGCTGGGACCACAGGCACCCACCACCACATATGGCTATTTTTTTTTTTTCTGTAGAGATGGAGTCTCACTATGTTGCCCAGGATGGTCTCAGACTCCTGGGCTCAAGCAGTTCTCCCACCTCAACCTTCCAAAATGCTGGGATTACAGGCACGAGCCACTGTGCCTGGCCTGTATGTGACTTTTTAAAAGTAAATTTACTGAAGTTTAACTTTTATAAATTAAAATGAGGTTTAACCAATAAAAGTACCTCTGTAATTACAACTACTGTCAACATATAGAACATGTTCAACACTCCAGATAGCTTTTTGTATTTCTTTGTAGTCATCTGAATGCCTAACCTCTGGTAAACATTGTATCTATGTTCCATCATTGTAGCTTAGTTTTGCCAAGTTGCATATAAGTAAAATCATGTTTTTTTATTTCTAGTTTCTTTTACTCTAGATAATGTTTTTGAAGTTTATTTGTATTGCCATAACAGCAATTCCTTCCTTTTTGTTGTTGAGTAGTAAGTAGTCTCCTGCACAGACATATGTATTTGTGATTTTCTCTAGAGAGAATGCTTATGGGTTTTTCATCAGATCCTTAGAAAGGTATGCTGTTCCAAAGTTTAGCAATCTGTGCTTTAAATATAGCTTACAGATCCCCTTCCCTGTTTCATCTCTAGGGAAAGACTTGCTATGGATAAGCAATAAAATAATGTCATCTGTGAAATGAAGCTAGTTCATTGTACTAGGTACTGGAGTTTTAATTAACAAAAATGGTTTGTAAAAACCGAGATATCTGTTTGTCTCATAGTTCTTTCTCTATCGTATGTCTATCTTGGGATGCAGAGTTTCATTTGGAAGGCCATTCTCTTCTCCAAACTTTGAAAGGTCAATTAAAATCAAAGTAAGGCCAAGAGCCAGGTTCATAGAGTGAAGCAAGCTTCTTAAGCCTGTCTTTATTAAGCTATTTGGATAAATGGTGAAAATCATTACTGGGAACTCACATTGTTTCCCAGATTAGCACATTAGCAAAGGATGTATACAAGAAATTTAAGGCCAACAGCCTAATTTTCAACTAAGAATATATCAGGCAAGAATATTCTTTGCAGTAAACACATCTCTCGAAAAGTTAAAGTAATGAGAGTACTGTTACCTATCAATTATCAGGGAATTAACACTTTGAGAGGACTTAGCAATCTTATCATGAGTAAGGCTGTATAATGAGAGAACTAAAACAACAAAGATGGAGATACTCTGAGCTCATCAAGTCAAATGTCTTCTTTATAACCAATAAAAGATTGAATTGTCTTATCCACATAAAATAGATGTAAAAAGTAATTGTCAAATCAAAACTAGCACTTTAAAATTTCCAATGTTTAAATATTTTTGTTCCCTGCCCCCGACACCATGCTTGAAAATTAAGCCTAATGGAAATTGCCTGAAACTCTGAAAGGCAGCCTGGATTTTTTTTTTTTAAATTTAACCCTTGTAATAAAGAATGATTCCAAGATTTTTTCTTGAGGTATATTTATCTTTTTTTCTATGTGTGCATTATTTTTATTAGACAACATTTAGTCTGTACTAGTTTAGTTTACCCCCATGTTTTTTTTTAAATTTCACTTCCGATATTGACATGTTTGTTGATCAAAATTTCTATTTTCTACTCTAAATTGGCTAATCTAGATTTAAAGTTAAAATGGAGCTCTCTCTACCCAGTGCCTATAGCTACTAAAGATATAGTTGTACAAAGCATAAAACATGACATATTTAGATCTTTCCTGAACAGCTTTTGCAGTATAATGAAATGATTTGATGCAACTTCGACAATATCAACTGTGAATGTTATTAGATATCAGAAGTACAGTATCTGATACTGTTTCCCTGGTTGTTTAATGATAATGTCCTCCGGTCTCTTTAAAAGAGCACATTACTTTCCACCATACAAAGAATATTCTAATTGCAGTCGCTGTTTTACATAGTTTTCAGGATATTATAATTTTTAAATTCCACTAAGAAGAGTAATGATATTAATAACAAATATTTAAACAATATGTATACCAGTTTCATTTAATAAAGACTATTTGTTAAAAAATACATTAATATCAAATATTGAGCTCAAATATTAAATTATATATTGAAATTTAGAAATATATTTCCTGTTTTTCTTCATTTTAGTTCATGAAGCATTTTTATTAAGACAAACAAATTAAAATGAGCTGTTCCCCTGAATATTCAGGTGATCTTTCAATAATGAAATCAGTGAATTTTGCCTCCAAACAATAATTCCTTCATTTGGTTTAGCTCTACACCATTCTTTTTATTCAATCATAAGAGTCTATACATTATGTTTTTTAATAACTAACATTTTCATCATCATCACCTTTTCCTCATTTAAATGGTTAAAGAAATGATTCTTTAATATATAATGGGATGTTAAAAAAACTTTCTATTTTCTCAATTTAGATGAGAATGGAAACCTGGGGATAATAGGTGACAAGTTTCACTCAAATTTCAAATAGAGGTGTTTCTGAAGGAAGGAAAATTTAGCTCATTCCCACTCCTAATGGTACAAAGCGGAAAGCAGGAGACAAATTTTCAGAGAGGATTGATAGAGAATTATCTGAAGAAAGCTGTGTGTGTCCTGTGCTACTTCCACCCATCTGGACCTTTACCATTTCAAGTCAACTGACTTCATGACATCTACTCAGTCATTATATATGTCTTTTGGTCTTTAAACAGCCCAGGGACTTGTATCTAGTGCCCTTCAGTGAAAATTTACAGGTAAAAAGATAGTTGCATCTGTCTCTGATGTTAGAACTGAGATCAACATGAACTTCTAGATTTTGGCTGCGTTATATATGTACACAGTAAGGAGCTGGGTTGGAGAGTTATCTTAAAGGGAACTTGGTCAAGAGCTCTGCAATCCCAGGCAAGGGTAGCTCCAACAATAAGAGCTACCCTTATCCACTGGATATCTCATTGGATGCATGATTTGAAGAGGGAATCAAACAACACACCATCATCTGTTAGGGAAGAGTGCAATATTAGAAGTCATTCATCTGCAAAATACCAATATTTTGAGGAAACATTAAACTTTGCCAGAAAGGGATTCCAGAAGCTATACTAAGATATCACCAGCTTTACCATTTGTATTTACTATCTATGTAACTTTCTACACTGTCATCTGCCAAATGTTGGTCAGGCCTACCTGAGCTTGTGAGAGAAGGAAAAAAAAGTATTAAATTGAATAAGAAATATAATTATAAAAACTGTTTTCAAAAGAAAAAGAAACATTTTTAATATTCAAAAGTGAATTTAAAAAGTTCTAGAATTTTCATGAAATAGTGCCTTACTGTAGGAAAGGGAGATCTGACAGCATATTCTAAAGCCACTGATATAAAGAAATAAAAACACGTTCTGGATTACAGGCTGCCAAGTCCAATCCATTCAATAATTTCATCATGAATAGAATAAGCCCAGTAAAAAAGTTCTGATGAAGCCTACATTAAATAATAAGCAGCCCAACCCCAAAGGTGCTGTACGTGTTATAGGACAATGCTGTAATTCAAAGTTCTCAAGCTATATGACTTAGAGAAGAATATTAAACAAAGCAAGTTAAACGCATACCTATCCAGAGGTGAGCAAAGGCATAAACTGTACAGCTGATGAAGGCATGAAGAAAAGGTATAAAAATATAAACTTGTTAATATTGTGCAGTCAATTTTGAAAAAGGGCAGGAAAGTCTTCTAAAGAAGAAGTAAGAATATCTGTTCATCCTCATCACCTTTTACTCCTTTTTATCTCTGCAGACAGGACCCCGAGCAAGGTGGTATTAAGAGGCTTACAAATTACTTTTAAGTGTGGGACTTGAGAGCCACCTGAAAAAGAAAGTAGCAAATCTCATCAACTCAATCACAAGGGGTTTATGTTAGTGCAGAAAACTGATGCCAGTACAATTGGACCAGGATTGTAGTAGCTGTGAGTTATACAGTTGATTTTCAAAGATCTCTTTCTACATCTGATACATAAGATTTCTATCTATCTTTCACTGTACTTTTAGTGATTTCTACAACCCAGAAAGTACTTTAACAATGATTTTTTAATATTTTTTCTATATACTGCCTTTCTCTGTATGTTCCTGTTTTATCAGAAAATACAAAGTTCACAATGTACCCTTGTTCAGTTTCACACTACTGTTCTTCTCCTCATTTATTATAGTTGGTATCTTCTAACTATGGGGTTCAATTTCCTCAGTCATGGTTCTTGGCTTCTTGGCAGTATTACATGTCTTTGAATTTTTGCATGAACTTTTGAGTAGTTACTAATGCCTTCTCTGTTCCTTTTAAATTCCATGTATCATTGTGAATCAAGATAGAGATGCCATTTTTCTTTGGCATATCTGTTGGATTTTTATGTGCATATAATCCTTTATAGAAGTTCCCCTCTACACTCTTTCACAAAGTGAGCATACCTATATGGTATCTCTACTAGCCTGCACGTAAGTCATTTATTCAACATTTTGTTGGGAGATATTATAGGGAAAAAAAACACTAATATGCACACAAATTAGGTAAAAACTGCAAACACATATACACAAATGTACAAACACACACACGTGAGGAATAAACATCTGTTTTTAAATTCCTAAATATATTACTATAGGTGAATTTTATAAAATATAATATAATATATTAACGCTTTTTTCAATGTTGTTTTAATTTTACTTAAATTTATTGAAGTTATTAGTAAAGTGGCATAAGAAAGGAAGATGATAATTAAATGAGAATGTTTGAATTGTGGGTTTACCTCTTCCCTTGGATGCTGTCACTCATTGTCCTGCTTTTCTTTAGACTTTCTGGTCACTCCTTTTCCATTTCATTTTGAAGAATCATGGTTATACAAAAGTGAAGTTCTTCCAGCTCAGTCTTAGGCCCTGTCTTTTCACTGTTTATTCTTTTCCTGCATGTGTAATCTCATTTACTAGCAGGCCTTCAATAAAAACCATACTCAGATAATTAGCATTTATATCTTTAGTTCAGATGTTTCCTCTAAACTCCAGACCCATATGTCTAACTACTCATCTCAAAAAAAAAAATCAAATGCACTTTAATATATTCTGCTACAACATGTGGTTCTTTAGTGAGCACTGACTCATACAAAGTTGTCATATGGGAAGCAATGTAAGTTTTAATGTGAAATTCATGTTGGGTCATATGTGATGTTTCCCAGCATGATATGCATTGAAGTAATCAGTAACAAGCTATTTCACGATGAAAAAGAAAATCTTAGTAACATATGAATATCTTCAGAAAAAGCTGAACATTCTACAAAAATGCAAGTAATGGCTGGCTTGGTAGCTTTAAGAATCACTAAACTTCTCACAGCATTAACCTGTCAGTAGAGCAGTGAATGCAGATTAAGCTAGCTTTAAAAGTCATCCAAGGTCAACAGCTTGTAAGAAATGGCAAAGGGAGTAGAACAGATTTTGCCAGACTTCTTTCCCAAGTACTTTCAAACAAACAAGGAAACAGTTTTGGAAAAACCAAGGCAGTAGATAATTTTATTAAATCACTGAGCACAAACTTAATTGCTGAAATATTTCAAAATAGAAAGACATAAAATGTTTGGAGCTATAGCTGGGAGATGAGTTAGAATATTAAAGGTAGGTAATATTTGTAAAACAGTAGGCCCAAAGGAAAAAGCAAATGTAAGGTATGATAGTAAAGACTATGTGGTAGTTAATAAAAACAACTGTGTATGTACAAAATATGACCATAATTTGAAGCTTTCTAGAGATAATTAAAGACATTTATACTTGACATTAGAAAGACATAAACACAATGAAATTTCAGATAAATCATAGCATTTATTATATGATGCTCTTATTATCACAGGCATGCTTTAATTTTAGTTAGCCCACAACTTATTTTTTTTCTTGCCTAATTTTATTTAGGCTTCAGATAATCACCTTTACTTTTGAATTAATTATATATATATACTTCTACCTGTTCCTTTATACTCTGCTAGGAGCTTTATTAAATAAATTAATGGATATTTTCCCCCTAGTGTCCTTCAGTTCATGTCATGCAAGTGAATTTACAGTGTGATTGACATTTGGAAGATCAGCAGAAATTTTTTATTGATAAATGAATGAATGAATGTTTCAGAAAACCACAGAAATGAAGATTAAATGACCATTAATCCTCAGTTCAGAAGTATCTGTCCTTCTGTTTCCAGAAACACACACACACACACACACACACAAACACACAAACAAAACAGATAGTCTAGGTTAGAGTTGGATGTTTTACAACCTATGTGACTACAGAAACCATAATGCCAGCAAGACTTCAAAGCTTTTTACAAAAATATTTTAGGAATAGTACATATTTACTGCCACAGGAGGGTTTATAGCATGGTGATATGATTCGCAAAAAGAAAAATGGGATCACAGTCCTGCATTGGCTCTTAAATATTTTTGTTTCCACCACTTGGTGGACATATTATTTTCTTCTGTACATTTCTTCCTACAAAACCCAGGTTCTCCTAGGATAAATCTATTCTAAGTTTTGTTATACCCTTTTGGGCACTAGACCACATCATATAAAAATGTTACTCATTATAATATCAGAATACAATTATAGCACTATATCACAGGTATTTCTACGACACAATAGTATTGGGACCCCTTCTCAAATTTTAAAGGTCAGTGAATTAAAAATAGTCTTTTTAGACCCTAATGATACCACAGGCATTCAAAAGCTCTTAACCCATTTATGTCTAGTGTTCCATTATTGGAACGCTATGTATGTGGGAGTTATTTATATCCTACTGCTTAAGGCCATTGCCAAGGTCTGATTGCAAAAATTAAAAAAATTGCTACCTCAGGCATAAATGGGTTAACTTCACTGGTGAGAAAGTAAAAGTTTTAGAGGAAAGGAGTGTATGTCAGCATAGGAATTATTGGGCAATACAAACAGTTTATTTATTTTAATTTTAGTAATCTAATTCTCTTGAAATATTAACAAACCTTGTTAATCTTAGAAAATATACAAAAAGTTAACTGCTTTTATCTGAAACAGAAAGTAGAGTCTTTATACGTTTAATTTTACATCTAGACATATTTTTATTCTCTAAAAAGTGATTACAACAAATATTACCTAGGAATAATTTTGAAGAAAAAAATGTACATGAAATATATTTAGAAAAGTTTAAAGCAAAACTGAGAGTTCTCAAAGGAATTTAAACACATAAAATGATATTACATAATACTAAAAAAAAAATACTGCATCCATCCTGAGTAATATGTAGAAATATCCTCTCCTCTCCTCTCCTCCCCTCTCCTCTGCTCTCTTTTCCTTTCTGCTCTCTCTCTCCTCTCTCTCTCTCTCTCTCTCTCTCCTGGTGGTAAATCTACTTAGATAAACCAACAAACCTGGGCATCTTAGTGAAGATGGACATAAACTGCTTAGATAATTCATAAATAACTAAGTTATCCAGCAATATAAAATTTTACACACGTAATACACTACTTAATTAATAAATATTTTAGCCACTAATTTGAGGGCCTCTATGAAATGAGAAAACAGAGGAACATTCTAAGATGTTCCCTTTCTCCCCCTTCTCAAAGTATCTGTTTGCTACATTCATTTTTCTCTTACACTCAACACATAATTGTTTTATGGAATATTGTTAACGTATTTGTAGTCCTGGGTTCTTAGGGAAAATTGTCACTTATATAGTTCTCTTACTAAACAAACATTTTCATTGATTTCTATCAGTGAGCCTCAGGCATGTGCTTTCTGTGTGCTTTTCCAAGCCTTACATTAACACCTACAAGTAATTCCCATACAGGATCACCCACAGAACGGCTACATATCACTTAGGCAGTTGCATGAATTTTGAAATTCCAGTTATCTCTTTTACCCTCTATTTTTACTTCATCATATTGCATATCTATTGCTCATACATGTTCTTAATACAGCTTTATTCCTTTTATAAATAGCAATCTTTTCCTAAACCATCAAATATACCTCTAACCACATCATTTTTTTTTCCATTTCACTTTTAATTTTGCATTTGTGTCCTTGAAATCAATGAAAAAAACATTAAATAACGTTTTCATTTTTTGGTGTTTTAGCTAATAAAATTTTAGTGGGTAAGTAAACATATAAAAGGTAGTCTCACTGTTACCAACCTTTGCTAGGTTTTTCTTAAGCATAGGAACTAGGCCTGTTACCCCCCTGCAGTGACCAGTACCTTTCTTGAAACATAGAGTAGGAGCTTAGTAAATAGAGCTGGTTCTTTTGCTAACTTGCCTTTTTCAATTTTAGTTGATTATTTTTATAATTTTTGGAGGCCCATCACATGTTTTAAAAAATTTTAAAAAAAGAAAACATATTAAAAGGCCAAAAGGAGAAATCTATAGAAGAATAAGAGAAAAAATGGGAAGAAGAAAGTGTGTAATTAATCAAAATCTCTTAGAATGGGACAGATGGAAAATCTGCCATTGACCTAGTTTTCTCACTTCTATTTTTTCTTCAATTGAATCTATTATCATCCTGCCTTCCAAAGAAGAATCTTAGTGCTTTAATTAGCTTATACATAGTTATCATCTTCAAAATCTCAATAGCGTTTTCTGTCCCTTCTTCTAGTCATATGTTTATTTCTCATTGCTATTTAATTAATTTCTATACATTGAATTGACAAATATGGTAGTCGACATTGAATTGTAACTCTTGAATAATATTTAAGAAACTCATAAACAAAATTCCAAACAGGTACTGAACAAATTTAGCTCATATTCTTGCTTTCTGGTTCTATATTCTTATATAGTTCTTAACGTTCCTGCCTGAGTACTGGATTGCTTCCAAGTCATGTGAATTACACAGGAAACTGAAACTTCTAATCAACGTATAAAGTTAAATATAATGAAAATGGCATGTCTGCAATCTTCTTAATATTGATTTTGAGATCAAGTCATTTAGATTGCTGTTTTGTTGATAATTTTCATAGCAACATATTTTAAATATATTCTTGAGTTTGTAGGAAGATTCCATACAAGGTTTATATTTAAAAACAATATTTTTATGAACATTAAATTTTACAATTATATAAACACATATATTGTATTTTGATTACCCTTAATTTGGATTTTTTTTGTTTAATTGGGATCTTTCAAAGTTACTTTGATATACTGCTAAATGAAATGAAACGAAGATTAAAATCTACCCATGAAGAGTTGCAAAGAGGGTGGTTATGTGGAAATACCATGACATGATTTGGAAATCTTATTGGATCAATTGCTCAGTATATGCTATGTAATATTGCTGAATATTAAGTCAGAAAAACTGATAAAATGCTGAAGAAAATGGCTGTATCTATAGCACAATTTAATTTATTTAGTCATCAGTAACTAATCTTTTCAAGTTCTTGTTTGTATTACCTGTCTAATACTACATAATGAGCACCTCCAAATCTGAAACAATAACAATATAATTGGCTCTTGATTCTGAGTGTTGGCGATTGACTATGGTTTTGCTGGGAAGTTCAGCTACTCTCAGCTGGGCTCACTCTTAGATTTGTAGTCACAACCTCTGTCCTGCCCTTCGAAATCTCATTAATGTGAGATACTCCATATTCTGAATCTCTCCTTTACCGTAGTAGGTTAATAAACTTGGCTTTAACAAGTTATTTTGATGGGTAGAATTTTTTTCATGACTCAGCATTCAATACCTCACATATCTTTATGTATTTTTGCTTTATCACTTGTTTTTCTTTTTCTTATTTTAGTCAGGTCTCTGACAAATAACTTCTCTATCAAAAATTGATATCCTCTTTACTATTGCAGTGGCCTATTTTTTTTCTATAAAGGACCTACCACAACTCATAGTGTGTATATGTACACATATTTTGTTATTGTTGTTGATTATTTTATTGTCTAAAATATATGCTCCACTAGATCAGGGAATTTTACTTTTGGTCATTGCTCTATATCCAGCAGCTAAATTAATAGTTGACACAAAATAGATATCTCATAAAATTTGCTTAATGAGTTTAAACTCATTAATGAATTGACATGTACACCAATCAAATTACCATTTCATTTACTAGATTATTCCTTTATTTAGTAATATTCATACTACCTGACACATTTTGTTTTGAAAAATTCAGATGCCTATGATCTTTTTGCTTCAAATTATTTTTAAAAGCATAGTTTCATAAGCTATTAAATTTTAAGATGTTATAAATTTTATTATCAATTTTTTTACTCAATTGAATTTTAGGACAGAAAGTTCATTTTTTAAAATAACTTATTCAGCTACCAGAATGAGTATAGTGTAATAATTGACATTGTAGTTAAAATGAAACATAAAGAGAAAAATGACCTTAACTTTCAAATTTACCATAAAAATTACAGAGGATGGTTATAAAATTGTTCCTCTTCAGAGAAATATCTATAGGAATTCTGGCAGATTAAAATCAGTAAAACTGCATTTTTCATTGTAGCAATATATTTGATCTAAATTATCAATATTATTTTCCTTCTTTATATTTTTACTTTTTGTCTTTAGACAAAGCCCAAGTTAGTTTGATTCATTTGGAAATACAATGTAGCATATTGGATTCCTTTTATATAAAAAGATTTTGTATAAATTCTATTTGTGGACAATATCAATGAGCACTGCACTGTAGAACATAAATACAAAAAATTAAAATGTTTTTCTATATGATGTATATAGTTCAAGCTATGACTGTCAGTATACATAAATTTAACTGAGTAAATAACAAAAATTAAGTCTACACCTTAAGAAATTTTTCACATAAGATAGACTTCTAAAAGAAACTGCATCATTTTAGTGTTACTGTTCTCATATGAACTTCTTTTTAATGTTTATAAAAATTACCCAATAGCCCTTCTCTGTTTCAGAATGTGTAAAGTTGTATATGCCTACATAATTTATCAATTTTTAATATAAAATAAAACTTTGGGTGTATCTATGGTTTAAAGGCATATGTTTTATGTGTGTAATTTAATGCATTATTTTTTCCATATTAACATCCCTTTAATTGAGTTCACAGTACAAAAAGAGCTTTAAAAAAATAGGCTATGAATTTCATGAAATAAAGACAGTAGATTTAGTTTCTGTGGTTGTTGTTGTTTTCCTAACCTTAAAACAAGCAGGCACGTGCAATTTACAAGTGACTTAAGAACAGAGGTACAAAGCATATTCATGGCAGAATGATAAAAGTCCAGTAAATCTAGCTTAACCTGCAAATAGCTCTTTTGAAATATTTTACTCATAATCATAGTAGTTGTAAGAAACTGTCCTACAATATCTAAGAATTGACAACTAATCAGATTCACATTTGAAACTTTTAATAAAAACTTATGAAGTATGTGGGATTTGGATAAAAGAAAGCTGAGCTGAAAGCTAAGAGCCATGCCTATGCATAAACTGTTAGTCATCAGTAGAGTCAAGTCTGTAGAGAAAAGATGCAGCACAGTTAAAAAAAAATTTTGACTAAGAAGAAAGAAGCATACATACAGAGAAGAGAAGAAAATACTTTCTAGCACCTTCTCACATCAAACCACAATGCTCCCGTGAGACCCCAGTGGTCTTGATGCCTGTGAGCTTGCTACATCCCTAACGATTCTCATTCCATTGAGGGAGCTTGGATAGATTTTGTTCTTTGAAGCCAGAAGAAATATGAAAATAAGATGTTCACCAAAGGTCTCCACCAAACTATTTCTCTGCACACGCTTTGGAACCCTACAGCCCACTTTTGCAGCAAGAGCAGTGAAAAAACTGTCTATAGATAAAATATCGGTTCATGAGGGGATAAATAATTTATGAAAATATTTCAAAAAGATGACAAAAATGGTAAATATACCTAACTATTGGTAATACTACCTCCCTATCTCTATTGTATCCTCACTTCCCTCTTCAGTTTATGCTATCTGAAATTCAGACTCAGACATTAATTTGAATTAGGAGTCATCATTTTAATGTTTCTAGAAATATTAACTGAGTTGTAACAAAGCAAATTGTCCTTCAGCATCCATTCTCACCTTTCTTTAAAGCTGGAACATAGACAGGCTAGAAAACACAGTTTCTTTTCAGCTAGGGATGGATGTGATTCCAAGTTCCAACTAGTGACATGCAATCTAAAGGAATGTATGCAAATTCTGAGCCATATGCTTTAACAGGGAAAATGCCTGCGCTTCACCCAGAATAAGAAGGTGGTACCAGTGAGCCAGCCTCAAGTATGTGAGCAGGGAAAACATTTAGGGGTCTGTAGAGTGACGATATAGAATAAACCAGATTCTTAGGTGATCTCGTGGATCATTAACGTGGATGGAGCCTTTCACCTCTAAAGCACTAGATGGAAGAGAAATAATCATCTTTCTTGAGCCACCATATTCTGGGCTGCCTCTGTTAAAAATCAAGCAACTTGGTTCTTTGTTTTAATTATTTTCTCACTGAGTATAATTTTATATTTGCCAAATTTAAAAAATGAATTTTAACTGGAATCATTTATATCACCAAGTATTTCCAGTTTTCAGACAGATCTCATCTCCCATCTAGAAATATGTTATGGAAGCCACATGCTATACACAGTTTTTGGATACATTTTAGTTTATAATTTAATCAAACTTGATAAGTGTACAGAATTTAAATGAGTCTATGTATTGTATTGTATTGTATTGTATTGTATTGTATTGTATTGTATTGTATTGTATTGTATTGTATTTTTTGAGACAGGGTCTCACTGTCTCACCCAGGCTGCAGTGCAGTGGCACGGTCACGGCTCACTGTAGCCTCCACTTCTCAGGTTCAAAGGATCCCCCCACCTCAACCTCTCAGATAGCTGGGACTACAAGCATGTGCCATCATTCCAGGATAATTTTTAATAGTTTCTTGTAGAGACAGGATTTTGCCACATTGCCCAGGCTGCTCTCGAACTCCTGGGCTCAAGAGATCTGCCCACCTTGGCCTCCCAAACTGCTGTGATTACAGATGTGAGGCACTGCACCCAGCCACAAAAACATATTTTAAAAGTGAACAATATGATAATCATTATTTAAGATTTATGTCATGGCAATAAAATTAACAATAATTGAAAACACTGATATAACACATTAACCTCACAAGCAAAGTGGTAGATTCAAATTTAACTTCCTAACTCCAGAAGCCATCCTCTTAATTAACACCCTCTGTCTCTGTTCCCTCTCACTTTACTAGGCTGCTTTGCAGCAACTTAGGTCTCTTTATGTCTACAAATACGGTAGTCCTCCTTATCCTCAGGGAATGTGTTTCAAGACCTCTAGTGGATGCACGAAACTATGTAGTAGCTAACGCTCTATATAAAGTTGGCTTTTGTATCCATGAGTTCCATACCCATCAATTCAAGCAACCATGGACTGAAAATATTTGGAAAAAAAGGTAATAAAACAATAAAATAATACAAATTTTAAAATACAGTATAACAGTTATTTACATAACATTATATTAGGTTTATAAGTAATTTAGAGATGATTTAAAGTATATGGGAGGATGTGTGTAGGTTATATTCAAATACTATGCCATTTTGTGTAAGAGACTTGAGCATCTGCAGATTTTGGTATTGTGGAGAATCCTGGACATGGGATGGGAATGACTGTACTATGGTTTTTTTCTTTGCATACTATAATATTTAATTCATAAATTAGATACAGTAAGAGATTAATGACAACAATAAAATAGAAGTAGAGCAATATGCTGTAAAAAAGTTATGTGGATGCAGTCTCTCTCTTTTTGTCTGAGAATATCTTACTGTACTGTACACATCTTACTTGTGATAATGTGAGATGATATAATACGTACACAGTGAGTTGAAATGAGGTTCATGATGTAAGTATTGTAATGTTAGGCAATTACTGACCTTCTGAAAATATGTCAGAAGGGGGATCATTGGCTCTGGGTGATCCGGGATCATCTGGCCATAACGATGACTATGGTTGGATGTCAGAAAGAGATGATGTTGATGCCCAGTGAGTGGGTAGTATAAACAAATGTATAAAGTGGACAAAGGGATTATTCATATCCTGGGTGATATAAAGCAGCATAGAGTGAAATTTCATCACACTATTCAGCATGGCGTGTAATTTAAAATTATGAATTGTTTATTTTTGGAAATTTAATTCAATATTTTTGGACTGCATTGACCACAGGTTATTGACACTGTGGAAAGTGAAACCTTGAAAAAGGAAGAACACTGTACCCTGTGAACTAGGTTCAGGAAGTGTAGTGACATATCCAAGGTCACACAATTTATGTCACATTGTCAGAATTGCAAAACCGTTGTTACTTTTTTATATTCCAATGTTCTATGGCATTTGAATTGCCAAATAAATGATACAGACAATAAGTAGAATCATTCAGGAAAGAAGAAAATTTCCTCAAATAAATGGTCATGTAAGGACTGAAATTAAATAAAACTATTTACACAAATGTTTAGAGCAACCAAGTCAAGAGGTTTGCTTTTTTTTTTCTTTCAAACAATAAATCATTCTGTATGATTCACTTTAGTGCCTGAGTATGTGGATATTCAAAAGTGATTGAAGAGATAGAGATAGGGTGTGACATACTTTACCTTTTAATTGATTCTCTCTTATTATTTCTGCTTCATATTTTCATATTGTCTCCTGTAAAGTGGAGATAATAATATGGATTTGACATTGATTACCACTTTAGATTATGAAATGTTCCAAATATCAAATGTGGTATAAGTATTAAAATGTGCATTAAAAGAATCTGTCTCTCTCTTTTCATATATATAATATATATATTATATATATCGTAAGTCAATTTCTGCATTTAACATAATATTTACAAATTTCTTAGTAAAGCCCCTACCCTTTCCTCACAAAGGTGACTAGGAAAAAATATATATATATATAATTTATAAATATTTATTTATATAATTTATTTACAGGTGTATATACGAATTATATATGCATGTAAACTATTTATATATAATTACATGTATAAACAAATGTATATATAATTTGGTTCTATATGCATGAATCCAGATATATGTAATTATGGAAGTTTGCAGAGTTAACAAAATTGTAATGTGTGAAACTGAAATTTATAGGAAATTATGTAGGCTAATATATAACAGTATTCCACAGATATCTTGGAAAGGAACAAAAGGATACAAAGAAAACCTGTTTTCATTCTATGAATATCATCTTACTATCTCATATTCATTATAAACACAGGAACTTAAATCAGGAAAATATTTTTCCCCTATAATGTAAGCAAAATAGTAATTTATTTTATTTTTCCCAAACACCTGGACATTAATTGATAATTTAAAAATCTTTAAGTGTTTTTCTATATTTTAGCCTTAATTTTTCCTGCAATTAACAAGTGACTTTCTTCACAGAATTGGAAAAAACTACTTTAAAGTTCACATGGAACCAAAAAAGAACTCGCATCACGAAGTCAATCCTAAGCCAAAAGAACAAAGCTGGCGGCATCATGCTACCTGACTTCAAACTATACTACAAGGCTACTGTAACCAAAACAGCATGGTACTCTTACCAAAACAGAGATATAGATCAATGGAACAGAACAGAGCTCTCAGAAATAACACCGCATATCTACAACTAACTGATCTTTGACAAACCTGAGAAAAACAAGCAATGGGGAAAGGATTCCCTATTAAATAAATGGTGCTGGGAAAACTGGATAGCCATATGTAGAAAGCTGAAACTGGATCCCTTCCTTACACCTTATACAAAAATTAATTCAAGATGGATTAAACACTTAAACGTTAGACCTAAAACCATAAAAACCCTAGAAGAAAACCTAGGCATTACCATTCAGGACATAGGCATGGGCAAAGACTTCATGTCTAAAACACCAAAAGCAATGGCAACAAAAGCCAAAATTGACAAATGGGATCTAATTAAACTAAAGAGCTTCTGCACAGCAAAAGAAACTACCATCAGAGTGAACAGGCAACCTATAAAATGGGAGAAAATTTTTGCAACCTACTCATCTGACAAAGGGCTAATATCCAGAATCTGCCATGAACTCAAACAAATCTACAAGAAAAAAACAAACAACCCCATCAAAAAGTGGGGAAAGGACATGAACAGAAACTTCTCAAAAGAAGACATTTATGCAGCCAAAAGACACATGAAAAAATGCTCACCATCACTGGCCATCATCGAAATGCAAATCAAAACCACAATGAGATACCATCTCACAGCAGTTAGAATGGCACTCATTAAAAAGTCAGGAAACAACAGGTGCTGGAGAGGATGTGGAGAAATAGGAACACTTTTACACTGTTGCTGGGATTGTAAACTAGTTCAACCATTGTGGAAGTCAGTGTGGTGATTCCTCAGGGATCTAGAACTAGAAATACCATTTGACCCAGCCATCCCATTACTGGGTATATACCCAAAGGACTATAAATCATGCTGCTATAAAGACACATGCACATGTATGTTTATTGCGGCACTATTCACAATAGCAAAGACTTGGAACCAACCCAAATGTCCAACAATGATAGACTGGATTAAGAAAATGTGGCACATATACACCATGGAATACTATGCAGCCATAAAAAATGATGAGTTCATGTCCTTTGTAGGAACATGGATGAAATTGGAAATCATCATTCTCAGTAAACTATCGCAAGGACAAAAAGCCAAACACCGCATGTTCTCACTCATAGGTGGGAATTGAACAATGAGAACACATGGACACAGGAAGGGGAACATCACACTCTGAGGACTGTTGTGGGGTGGGGGGAGGGGGGAGGGATAGCATTAGGAGATATACCTAATGCTAAATGACGAGTTAATGGGTGCAGCACACCAGAGCCAGCATGGCACATGTATACATATGTAACTAACCTGCACATTGTGCACATGTACCCTAAAACTTAAAGTATAATAATAATAAAATAAAATAAAAAAAGAAATTGTAAAAAAATAAAAAATAAAAAAATAAAATAAAATAAAATAAAAAAGTTATCTGACAATAGAATATTTTACCAAAAAGTAAAATTTATAATCTTACTTGGCAGAGCATGTACATATTTGTGTTTTTATAATTAACTTGTGTATTATTATTTTCAAATAAATAATTTTAAATAAATATTAAGATATAATTCTGTTTCCAGAGTGATCTATACAATTCCAGTAATTTATCTAAACCTTAAATAAAACATCTTGTTACTGAATATAATAAATTATAACATAGCAAAATAAGAAATTCCATGGCTGAAATATGACTTTATGAGTTGTATCTGCTGAGTCTTATCTTTCAGCAGAGTCAAAACAGCCAATATAGTTACTAGCATAAAAATTAGTTATCAGTTCTACATTTGATTTATGTTCCTTCTGACGCATTGGTTTAAATGATTAATATAATTTGAACTCATGTAATAATATGGTAAAATTTTGATATTAAAGTATTTGCCTTCCAATACAGTGCATAGAAATTTAAATATTAAATTTAGCCTACTGCCTTGAATTTAGCAATAATCTAACTTGCTGAAACAGAAAAGTAGTGTAGATCAAAGCTGGCATATTGTATATAAATAATCAGAGAAAAACATTACATAAATGGAGGTAAAACAGTACAAAATGGAGGTAAAAATACAAATTTGTTTGTGACCACCCATAAGGTGCATTTACTTTATCCACTAAATAGATACGTTATTAACAGTACTACTTTAATAAACCTATACACTGTCTTCAATAATTCATGTTATAGGATGCTTACAATAATTATGAAAAGATCCAAGATGTAAAAAGTTAATACATACATATTTACTGACTCAGATGTTTTCTCTATATTGTATTCAAAATTCAAAATAAGAAATTGTGCCATTCACTCATGTTATTTAAAATTCAAGTTGAAGAAGCATTAGGAAATCATACATTTACATAAGGAAAATAAAATCATAAAATGTAGGTAGAAGAGAAAAAATTATGTTCAAATTATGACTAAGGTTTTCCTAAGGGCTTAGAAAGAATAATCACTTAACAAAACATAACCAAACTGGAATAATGAATTGTAGTCATTACAAGAGGAAAAAGTTAAATTTTTAAGTATATCAGTCTCCTTACAATGTCATTGTTCTGAAATTTTATGTCCCAATTTAATAATAAAAGCTGTTTTATTTAGCAGACATGTCTGTAGTTCTTTTTGGGGAGCCTCCAAAATGGGTCATAAAATAACATGTTATGTAAAAAATTCCACCCTGTTGCAAATAAAACTATGAAAGCTCCAGTTAAGAGGAAAAAAAATACAGAATACCTGGAATATTGTTAAGTGCTTTCTGAACAGAGATTATATGAGCTCTCCACTTACCTATATTTGCAGAAAATGTAATTAAATAGAATATTTGTAAATTTTTATTGAACTCAATCTAAAAAATGCTTCCCTCTCTCTCATACATATAAGTGTATATATACACACATGTATGTACATACACATATGTACATACATACATACATATATACAGAGAGAGAGGGTGTATACATATTCTTTCTCTCTTCATAATACGCATATTCCCTAATATGTGCTAGGGATTT
This sequence comes from Homo sapiens, assembly GCF_000001405.40. Taxonomy (NCBI): domain Eukaryota; kingdom Metazoa; phylum Chordata; class Mammalia; order Primates; family Hominidae; genus Homo; species Homo sapiens. The sequence goes on from NW_009646200.1 coordinate 261,202, forward strand.
TATTTGTCACTGTGTTTAATCTTTAAACAACTATTTAATGTAAATACAATTATTCTAACTTTTATGTATTTATAACCAAAGGTCTGCTTTAAGAGATTTCATATTAAAACCCTCACTTTGACTAGTGTGATTTAGTAGAAAACACATGGGTCCTGGAAACAGAGTAGAACATGGCTTTAGTTCCTGGTGACAATTGTTCAATTGTTTGCCTAAGTATCCTTTTGGACTAGTGAGTTAACATCTTGGGATGTATTTTTCTTAACTGCAAAATGGAGGTAAAAATACTCAACTTACATGCATAATTATTATTAGGATTAGATTCAACAATACCCACTTCCTTCCATATGGTATTAACCCAATAAACAGTTATGTTATTATCATTGCATTATTTTATAATTACCAATAACCAGTATGTATATGCTATCCACTTCATTAAAAGAAGTATACACATACACTTATATGCATATATGTCTCTTTTTAGAAAATAAAGTCATTTTAAATAATTCACTAATTTGATCTACCTTATTTAAATATTAATTTTTATAAAAAGTCTAGTAAATACTTTCATATTTATTTAGTACATACATTTCTAAACAGCTGTATCTTTTATAATAAATTATATAATTTGTTTAATCTTGGCCTTTATAGTAAAAGTATAACAAATCAATTGCTTGAAGAGAGAACTGACAAAAGTAAACTGATTTAAAATTTTCTCCCTTTTTAATAAATTTAACTTTCTACATTATTTTATAATAAAAAATGTGATTGTGAAGAGATTAAAATATGTTTAAATTCACTTACCTCATTTCATATTGACAGAAGTGTCAAGATTTCCATGAATATAAGTTTAAATTCAACCTACTAATATAAATATGATCAGAACATTCGTTATATATGCCTGCCTAAATAAACATATACTCTTCATAGCTGCAACATTCATTTTGATATTAATTTGTTATATTCCTTAAGGTGTTCATTTCAAATGTAGAAGATCAAAGGATTTAAAATAGTTCTCTTGTGTCATCTGGTACAATTTTAAAGATGTAGATGGCAAAGTTAATTCAGAAATCTCATTATAAAAGAACAGTTACAACTGTTCTATGTCCATTTATCACTGCAGATTGTAGTTAGAAAGAAATAGAATTGTGTAAAATGAATACAAGTGAGAAGATAAAAGACTAAAAGTCTCCATGCAGTATAAAGACATAAGGTCCAAAATTCTGTTGCAATCTTCATGTTTTTATGAAACTTCAGAATGTCTAATTGATTTCATTTTCTTCTCAACCAGAAGTACAGCATCTATTCACGTAGGGATTTGACATGCCCTTTCTAAAATCAGGCACAATATTTTTAATTTTTCAATAAGACACTATTATATTAATTTTAGGAGCAATGTTTGTATGAACCAAATATTTTGACCATAATCATTGTCAAGGAAATTTAGAGGGATGGTAAACCAGAAGATTAATGTTTGTGGTTTCACTCTGCTTAGAATTCATGCTTTCAAATTCTGGATTTGCACACCAAATGGATGTGCATATCAAATTTGCATTTAAATAGTACAGGCCATGCAATAACCAGATGTAAATATTGTAAAAAACAAAACTTAAAAAAAAACTTGTATATCTGACATATTCCTTCTTTAAGAGTCTCTTTTTATTATCTGGCAGAAGAGAAAATGAAAAAAAAAATGACTATCCTGTGGACACTTTCTAGATTCTCCTGTGAGGCATAGAATCTAATTATATTGTCATTTCCCTCCTGACAGATCTGGCCTGTGTGCCATCATTATGATACTGCTCTCTGTAAACCACCAGTTCAATAACATGATTTGCCTCACTAATGTTTGTCTATTTCTGTTAATTTGTGATAAACGTGAGGGTGATGGTGTGTTTCAGGGTGAATTCATTATGACAATGTCTGGTAGCAAGTTGTAGAAATTTAAAACATGAATTTAGATGAATCCTCATTTAATGAATTCATGATTTTTTTAAATGTCCAGTGTAACACATCTATATACACAAAGCTGTAAAATACTGACTGCTATGGAATCAATTCTTTTTTTTATTTTTTAATTTCAATTGTCTTATTACTATATTTTTTTATTTTAAAGCTTGAATAATGTTGTCTGATTTCTAGTTCCATTAACAAATCAAGAATAGATTCAAATGGAAAGAAAAGGAAGTGGGAAAATACGTATTTGAATTTTTTGTTTCTCAACAAAATTACTTAAACCTATTTGTAAAAAAAGATGTAAAAATATCTGAGAGAGGACATGTAAATTTATTTCTTCAAAAATAGTCTACATTTTCCTTTTATTCTTGGTGATTTTTTAAAGGGCTGACTTCTTTCTAAAAGAAAAATAAGGCTGGGCACGGTGGCTCATGCCTGTAATCTCAGCACTTTGGGAGGCTGTGGCAGGTGGATCCCGAGGTCAGGAGATTGAGACCATACTGGCTAACATGGTGAAACCCCGTCTCTACTAAAAATACAAAAAAATTAGCCTGGCATGGTGGCATGCACCTGTAGTCCCAGCTACTCGGGAGGCTGAGGCAGGAGAATGGCATGAACCCGGGAGGCGGAGCTTACAGTGCAGCCGAGATCGCACCACTGCACTCCAGCCTGGGCAATAGAGCGAGACTCCATCTCAAAAAAAAAAAAATTAATTAATTAAAAAATATTGAAACATCATAAATATAGTGACATTTCCATAGACTATAAAGAGCATATTTTCCATGCAGGTAATGTACCTATCAGCAAAACAAACAATCATTTCCTAAATTAATTCACTTTGGCGGTAAATTACCTGATTTTTTTTATCACAAATTGTCACTTATTTACATTAGTTGCCATTATTTTTGACAGCCTGTGTTTGAACCAATAGCTCAAATGCAAATCACAGAACACAACCAAAACAAACAAAATTTTAAAACAGGCCTGCAAAGAGTAGCAAAATATTATATTAAAGTTTAACTTTAATATAAGGATAAACTTTAAATTTAATAAAGAATCCTAACATTGCATTTAGTATATATTTTTTCTAGACACATAATTTTTCTCATTATAGCCACCAACGAGTTTTCCTTTTTAAAAAATGTTTCTATATATTTAAACTTGTCTAATTTAATGTTTTTATTTCAGTTTATTTTTGTCCCTTTAAATTTGCATTTACCCATACCAACTACTTAGAAATTTTCTAATTTTTAATCTAAACTTTCTTTTTTCCATGCCTAAAATGTATGACATGATTATCATTATGCACATCTGGCTCATTCTTTGTAATGACTACGATAATTTTCAAAGAACACATTTTGCAAGAATTTGTACTACCATTTTCTTGTTAATAGACTAGTTGCTTTCAAGCTTTGTCAATACATATTAATGCAGAAGTAAATATTTTTGTGTGTATATATCTTCAGACACTGGTGCTACAGAGATTTCCAAAAGTAGAATATCCAGGTCAAAGAGTATTAAGGATAGTTAACATTTTTTTTTTTACCTGATCACTTTCCAGAAAGTTTGTAGCAATTTACACTCAGAAATGAGGTTGCTGTTTCCCTCTACGATCATCATCGAAAGTGATTATTTTTTAAATTGTCATAATCTTATGGTAAAAATTATGTTACCTAAATGTCATCTAATTTACATTTCCCCTCATCACACTTAGGTTGAACATTATTTCATAAGAATAGAGAGGCCACAGTTATTACTCATAACGTATTTCAGAGGGAATATCAATTGCTGTAGTTAGCCTCCTGATCTCCCTCATGAGCATCCACTCAGTGGTGGAGGGTAAGAATGGGACATTTTTGTGTTTCCATTGCTGACGTTGCTGTTGTTTTGCAGTGTGTGTGTGCAAATGTATCTGTATGTCTGTGTGTGTTTTCCAAATTTGGTAAACTCAGTCCCATGCAATACATGAAAGAGTTCCTGTAGATGAACATTTCTGGTAAAAACACATAATCTTTGAAATCTTCATTCCTGTTCTTCTAAAGATGAAATCTAGAAATGTGAGGGAAGAGTGTGAACTATTGTTTCTTCATGGCAGTAGCAAAGGAAACGTGGTCTTCAGTTCTTACAGGAGCTCTAGTTCAGACAGTCTGGACAGCATCACCATTCTGCATGACTACCTTTGTCTCTCTACCAGTGCTTGCAGCTGGGGCCTCAGCAGTTGTAATCTATGCTAGTATCTCTCGCTGTACTAATAGAGCTTCACAACTGATAAGACTTTACAAGGGTTCTCCCTGGCACTATAGAACCTCTGAAGTTTCTGCCTTGTCCTTTATCCATAATTCAAACTCTGAAGTCCCTTTTGTTATCAAAGCAGGCCACATGGCAGGACTGCTCCCCTCAGCTAAGTTTGCTACAATATTTCTCCTTGAAGACTATAAGGGTTTATGGGTTCTACATATGTAGTACAGGAACTGAGAATGGCTCAGACAAAATGCACTCTGGTCTTTAACATTCCTCAAATTATTTTTTACACATCATTATCTTTTAATTTTTATTTTGACCTAATTTTAGATTTCAGATTATTAAAAAAATAGTAAAGAGTTTCTGTATGCACCTCACCCCACTCCCTTTAATGGTAGAATCTTACTTAACAATGGTACAATGATCAGAACTAGTAAATTAACATTGGTAAAATGCTATTAAGAAACTACTTCTCCATAATATTTACACTAATATCTTTTTTTTCTGTTCCAGGAACATATCCATGATTGTACATTGCACTTATCTGTTATTTTTCTTGTCTCCTGTAGTTTGTAACCATTCCCAATATTCTTCAATCTTTCCTTGTTTTTCATGACCTTGACTCTTCTGAAAAGTATTGACCAGTTATTGTATATTCCTCAATACTTGTTTGATTTTTTACATATTTGTGTTGACGTTATGCATTATTTGCAAGAAACCCCATCAATTATGTGTTCTCAGTAAATGACATCCTGGGGTTTATTTTGTCAATATTTGTTATTACCTGTAATGTTAGACTCTATTTGGTTTAGGTGATTAACCACTGTGTTTCTCCACTGCACTATATTTCTCCTTCATGTTAATAGATACCTTGGAGGAGTTAATTTAAAACAGAAATTCTGTTTCCTTTCAAGCTTTCACTTACTAATTTTAACATCCATTAATGGATCTTGTCTTCAACTGTTATTATTAATGGAGTTGCCTAATGGAGCTTCCCACTTCCTTCTTTCTTAATACATTTATTAATTGGAATTCTATTATATGGATTAGCTATTCTTGTTGCCTCATTGGTTAATTTTTATATGTGTATTTTGTTCTTTATGTATATCAATATGGACTTCTGGATGTTTATTTTAACCTGTGGGTTAAAATCCAGTACTATCAATGTTTATGTTGCTAGCTAAATTGTTCAAATTGTAGGCATTAGGAACCCCATCAGGTTTCCTCCTTTGTTCTTTAAACAAATCTCTATCTTTTATTTTGAGCATATCCTCACTTGTTGGCACCACAAGTTGTCCCAGGCTCACTTTCTATTCTCCTTGCTCTAAGACTGAGATCAAGAGATTAACCAAAGAGCTCTGGTATCTTTTATTGGGAATGATATTTACAAATCAAGATCCATAGGGTGGGTATGCTCATTACTATCTAGAGTGTTACCTCTTTAATCCCTCTCAGTGGACAGAGTTAGGAAACATGTATACACATATGCTTTGTATATAACACATAATTATATGTTGATAGAGAGATAGATACCCATATATACTAGCTCATTAAATACACACAAATATCTAGCTGTGGTATCCATGAGTTATGCTAATCTCTTTATTCCAATCCAACACTACAGGGTGCGATTTATTCATTTGGACCTCCTGTCTTTATTTGTAATTTTATTCTAATAGTAAAAATTTCAATTTTTATCACACATTACAAATGTACTTTTTCAATTTCAGCATGCACACAAAATGATTTTGTAGTTGCTAATTTATGGCCCTGTGGAAAACATATTTACTGATTAGAGTGCAACATGTATGTATATTTTTATTTGTAGGCTGTCAGTATTAAGTCAAAACATGGTTTACAAAAGTTGCTTAGGTTATTTTTTCCCTCAATGCCGTTAAGTGTGGCTATATTATTTATTCGTTATTGTTTATATTACATTTTATTTTTTATTCACTTTTTTGGTTTTAATAATTTATATTTTAGGAATTTAATGTTTATGTGAAATAATGCAATATTTTGGAAGCTCAGAGATATACAAAGACGTACTCATAGATGTGTCACTACTTCTCATCTTGGATACCACATGTCTGTTTTCATTTTCTATTCACCTTCTCAACCTACTATATATAGGAAATAACTTCCTTAATTTATGCTTTATCTTTCCTGCTATGATCTAAATGTTTATGGAAATGTGTCTGTTGAAAGCTAACCCACAAGTTTATGGCATTAATAGAGACAGCCTTTGGGGAGCTATGAGATCATGAGGACTCTGCTGTCATAAATGGGATTGATGCCCTTATCAAAGAGTCACTGGGGAGCCCTTTTGCCTTTCCACCATGTGAGGACACAGTAAAAAACTATCACCTTCGAATCTCTCTGCCTTTGTTTTCTGCTTTTAAGGGCTCAGATAGTTACCTTGGGCCCACCCAAGTACTCCAGAAAAATCTTCCTGCCTTAAGGTTTAACTGAGTCATAACCTTAATTACATATGCAAAGTCCTTTTCACCATGAAAGGTAACATATTCATAGGTTGTAACACCAGGGGGCAAATGTTATTAGGACCAAAATTCTGCCTGCTACAAGAGGAGTATCCCACAGGGATAGCCTTCCTTCTCTTTTTACTCATTTTCCAAATCTGTCAAGGTCCCAAGAGAACTCTAGCCTCTTCCAATTGCAGTCTGAAGTACCAGATGTTACCAGTTTTGCTCCTCTATCTGATTACAGATGTGTGTGGAAGAGTGGGCTACTCTCTCTCACCACTGGCTCGGTGGGTGAAGAGGGGATGGAAGCACTGGGGGATGAGAGGGGTTTCATGCAACATTGCTGGCTTGAAGATGGAAAGAACCACAAGCCAAATAATTCGGAACACCAGTCCCAGGTTCAGCGGCAAGGAACAGAATCGTACAATAAGCTGAATGAGCTTGGGTATGAATTC